>NC_000006.12:162495032-162646547 GCF_000001405.40 Homo sapiens | reverse complement strand
GTTTGGGAGGCCAAAGTGGGAGAATTGCTTGAGGCCAGGAGTTTGAGACCAGCCTGGGCAACATATCGAGACCTGCATCTCTACAAAAAAATTTTTATAATAAAAAAATTAGCCAAGCATGGTGACATGTATCTGTAGTCCTAGCTACTCAGGATGCTGAAGTGGGAGGATCCCTGGAGCCCAGGGTGTCAAGGCCACAGTGAGCTATGATTACACCACTGCACTCTAGCCTGGGCAGAAGAGAGAGACTCTGTCTATGAAAAAATAAAAAAAAAAACTTTGTATTTTAATTTTAAAAACCTTTTATTTATTTTATATGTTTGGTTTCTTTGTGTGATTTTACCTGGGAAAACTGGAATCTGCTTTAGAAAGTTTAGGCCGGGTGTGGTGGCTCACACCTGTAATCCCAGCACTTTGGGAGGCCGAGGCGGGCGGTTTACGAGGTCAGGAGATCGAGACCATCCTGGCTAACACGGTGAAACCGTCTCTACTAAAAATACAAAAAATTAGCCAGGCGTGGTGGCAGGCGCCTGAAGTCCCAGCTACTGGGGAGGCTGAGGCAGGAGAGTGGCATGAACCCAGGAGGTGGAGCTTGCAGTGAGCTGAGATCTTGCCACTGCACTCCAGCCTGGGCGACAGAGCAAGACTCTGTCTCAAAAAAAAAAAAAAAAAAAAAAAAGAGAAAGTTTATGCACTGTGGCTCAGGGTCAGAATTTGTCTCCTTTCATTCTGGAAATGACAAGAATGGGGTTTGGTGGGAGTCTTTTGAGAAGACACGTAGAGTACGTGAATAGAAGCAAGGTGGCTATCAAACAATCTCATCAGTTATATCCGATTTGTTGATTATTACTTTTATGTGAATACTTTTTCCTTGAAAGCACAATTTAGTTTTCAAAAGACAATTTTTGAGTATTTCAAAAAGCACTTTTTTTTTCTTCCTTAGCATTTCATGTAGTGGCCCATACAGCTAAACAACTATGCCAGCAAAAAATTTATAGGATCAGAGAAATAATTAAGGAATCCCTGACTTTGTTTTTTCCATGCTATGAAAGAGAAAACTCTATGAAAGAAGAGCTGCAATTGACCTCTTTTATTGTAGCTCTTAGCTGTCTTCTGTAAGACAGGTAAGGTTTGCCATAGCTCAGCTGCATAACTGAGTGACTGTTTGCTTCTTGATGCACAAAAATCAGCTGGTGTCCTTGAAGATTTCATCCCTTGGATTTTTAGTTTGGGTACCCTGTCTTTTCCATGAATGAGGCTGCAATAGTTACAATATTTCTTTTCCTTTTTTTTGATATTTTATGTAATTTCCTGTAAAGAATCATGTTAGGAAGATAGCAAAGGTCACAGACCTTCATAAAATTAGGCTGTCAGTATTCAATAGAATAGTAGTCAACAAAATTGTAAATAAAGCCATTTTAATATGGACAATGTTATAATATGAAAAATAAAGACATGGAATTGAATATGCAGTTAAGTAGATACTCTATTAATAAGCCACGGAAAGAAAAGTTGAATACACTGAAATGGTATTCAATAATATTAATAGCAATTGCTCAATAAACTATGACTATTACTATATTCTAAGAGCTATGCTAAGTTCTCTATATGCATCTTATTAATCATGAAAATAACTTGACTGTTTTTTCTAAGCCTTACTTAGATAAGCTTTTGGTAGTTTTCCAATAACATACAGCTATTTAGTGTCAGTGCAGGGACTTCAACCAAATCTATAGGATTTCCAAACCATATTCTTTGCAGTATACCGTATTGCTTTCAGATTTTTAAATACACACATACAGAATAAATCTCTGAAATTTATTTTTCATAAATGGCATCAGGTTAGCATTGCCTAGTGGTACTTAGCTAGCTACAAGTTTACTAAGAAAATTGGGGCTCTATAATTAGGGCCAGCTAGGGGATACACCACCGTATTTATGGGAATCTTGTTCTTTTTTGTGGGGAGTGCCTGCCTTTCTGAAAATATTCAACGGTTATTTTTTATGGAAGGTTAAGGCTTTGGGAAAAGGCTTCAGACTTTAGGCTGCAGATACATATTCTCCCAGGGAGGGATTAGGTCTGTGCGGGCTGGCAGTGATGATGGCTCCAGTGATGGTGATCACCAGCCCTATCTTTAGATACTGAGTATAAGACAGAATCCATTTTTATCCTGCAAGTACATGTTAACCTTTGACCCTGATTGCTACTGCCAAGTGTGGTCTGGACTGGTGGTGTGTGCTTCTCCAGCTCAGAGCCTTCCATGGGGGGTGCACTCTGCCTGGAGGATGGTGTGGACTGTGAGGGTGGGGCTTAGTAGCCATATCTGGGTGGCAGGAGGAGGAGGAGCACAGGCAGGGTCCTGGGAACTAGAAAGATAGGCAAGCCGAGGAGCCTTTTATGATTCCAGGCAACTTGTGCATCTCCATTGCCAAAAGACTGAATGTGCTGAAAGTGGGAGCGTTCAACCTACTTGGAGTCAGAGAGGAGGTAGAGCTGGGCTTGGGAGAATTTCCGTCTGTGCTTGGCCCCAAAGCTGCTGTTTAGCAAGACATGAAACAGTATCTAAGAAAGATTAAATGTATGTTTTCTATATATGGTTTTACTTAATAATCTGCTGCAGACAGTGTTGCTGACTACAATTTGAAAAATTATGGAAGTCCACAAGGTAATAATAAGTTGAATAATTTATTACTACACGAAGTAAAATGAGTATTAACTGAACTAAATTATTAAATTGAAAATTTAGTGTACTTCAGAAGACAAAAAGCTTCAGCAAAACACTGGATAAAAACCTTTCAGAAATGATAAAAATACATTGTATATTAATGAAAGCCACTATATTCATAGGCTAAAAATAAACATGAAATTAATATTTTCTATAAATTCACATAGTGATTGCTTTTTATTAGAGGTGAGTGATAAACTTATGAACACTGGATAGAGGTCTTCAGGACAGCTCACCCTTTCCCACAGCAAGAGTCCATTAATGGAAAATGTGTATGATTTTCTGTCGTTCTGCCTCCCCGCCGAAATGGGCCTGCAAATGGTCTAATTTCTAGGTAAATTTAAAATGTGACAGCTCATTTAAAATAATTACACATAGTGAAAAATATGCTTGTTGTTCTTTCTTTCTTTTTTTTTTTTTTTTTTGAGGCAGAGTCTTGCTCTGTCACCCAGGCTGGAATGCAGTGGCATGATCTTGGCTCACTGCAACCTCCACCTCCTGGGTTCAGGCAATTCTCCTGCCTCAGCCTCCTGAATAGCTGGGATTACAGGCATGCGCCACCATGCCTGGTTAATTTTTATATTTTTAGTAGAGACGGGGTTTCACCATGTTGCCCAGGCTAGTCTCAAACTCCTGACCTCAGGTGATCCACCCACCTCAGCCTCCCAAAGTGCTGGGATTACAGGCGCCAGCCACCGCGCCCGGCTGCTTGTTCTTTCTTATTACCCGTGGTGTCTTTATGTCTATGTCAACTTTTATTTCTGATTAGTTATTGTGTCAGTGCATTAATATTTAGGTCTTAGAAAATAAAATAGATAAGGATATACAAAACTTTTAAACCCATAATTTAAAATGTCGCAATCCACCATATCCTATATTCTTCAATCATACTATGTCTTACAATGAATTCAGTAAATATTCATATTTAAATTATGTTCAATATAAGAAATTTAGAAAATTCAGAGTATCTCCTAATATTGTACTAGACTTAAAATATTCTTACAGAAACTACTAAAAAAGAAACAATTTAAGACTTCACATGAGGTGAATTTTTGATTAGATTGGTTTAATCATTTTTCTTAAGAAAAAAGTTATATAACTTTTCTATGATATTTCAATTTTAAGTATAATATACTATATTATATTCTTCATAAGATTTAAATTTTTCTCATGAAGCAACTACTTAGTCTGAGTTTTCGACACTACTATACTTATATTGGTTTGCTAACCAAAAAGATAATATTACTTCTAAATAATGTTTGAGATTATGAAATGTTTTCAAATATATTGAATTACAGTTTTGACCAATGATTTTATAACAGTGATTATGTTTTATAGAATGTTAGCTTAAACATAATTTCAAGGCCCAGAGTAACTTCAAAATTTGGATTAAAATTAAATTGAGCTAATTAATCAGTATTATTTTAGATCCCTGAATAATTTCTAAGATAGAACATTATAAGAACTAACATTAAGCAAATGTTAATTTTTTAATATTTTTGGTTCTTATTTTATGGATCATATCATTAAACGTGTTCATTTTTTGTCACTTTAAGAATGTGCAAAAAGGATGAATGTGGCTTTAGGAAGGTATGTGTTGTGTATTTTTGAGCTTTGCTAGTCTGCTAAAATGCTGTCTATGACAGTTCTCAGTTATCTCCCACCCAGCTTTGTCTATGAAATAGAAGTTGTAATATCTGCTAAAAATTAGGACTACTGTTATCACAAGGAGGAATTATGACAAGGAACACAACTGTGTAAGTGCATTTGTGTAAGAAAACAAAAACAAATAAAAAACAAGACTAGTCCCAAAGAAAAGTATTAGTGTATTCCAGCATATGAAGAGAATAATGAGTGTGGAGAGCTAGCTATAGAGTGTTTGAGGAAACAAATTGTATTTGCCTTGTTTTTATAATATCTGAATCTGTAAAGAAATAATGAAACGTGTTAATTTTTTGGTAAATTCTGTTCAGTTTTGATAGAATTATTCACAAGATATAAAAAAATAAAAGGAGCTCATGAAAACTTTACTGCCAAACTTCACATTAAAACAAAACTAGAAAATGACTTCTCTATGTTAAAATGATAAATTGGCCTTAGAGTTAACAGAGGGCGGATGGAGTGACAAAAGATCATTCTTTACCTGCAGAGTAATCTGCCTAAGTAGCAAGGATTCTGCATCTCAACTTTGTGTGGACCTTATCATGTCCTTGATTATTTACAAAAACAAAACAAGATAAATAAATGTAAACAAACACGAAGTTCAGTGAGCCAAAGTTCCTCACTAGTAAAGAACTGAAGTTTCCTGGTACTTGTGTGCCTTCTTCTGTTTGCCACGTTGATTAAATAGGTAACCAGATACTGTTTCTCATGCCCCCATGGTTCCATCCTAATTCAGTGAGCAAATTTCCTCTGACAACACTTTGATTTTTGCCTTCTACAATTTGATTGCAAATTTAGAAAAAAAAAATTTCAGTGTAAAATGTCTTTTACATCTAATGCTATCTTTGTGTTTTGAGGGGGCCTCATAAAGATTATTCTTTCACTTTATAAGTAAAAGAATACTAGAAATAATTGGGTTTGTTTCATGGGTTCCATATGTCTTAATTACCTCAAACTATTGTGAGAACTGTATGAAGATAGTTGTCAAATCAGGAAAGATGCTTAACCTTCACTAGGTTAAATTTGTATAAGTAAAATGTTATTCATTTTTTTAAATATTTTATAGAGTGTACACATTTTGAGAAGACCCTGGAAATTGTCAGTGCCTCTGCTATCCATCATATGTCTTCTCTCTCAGGGGAAACCCTTATGAAATAGTTATGTCCTCTATCCCAAAAAAGAAATTTACTCTTGCCTGCTGTGATAATACTGTTCCTGGAATATGACCTTCGCCATGAGTCTTACCATCAAGCAAGAGCTCTTTTCCCTTCTGATGTTTGCCTGGTGACTTTGCTATAAGCTTCAGGCTAGAGTTTATACCTTTAGCAAAGGGGAGTTCAGAACCTGTGGAAAGGCCTGTACCAGCATTATGAACCATTGCCCCTTCAGGGAATTGTCAAGCACAGCCTTACAAACAGGTATTGCTTAGACAACTTGCAGACTGTATCAGTGACTAAGGATTTCCAGGACTTCTTTCAGTCCAGCAGCAGACATACTTTATGAAAGCAGTATCCAGCAGAATAAAACTTAATTACTAAGGACTAAATGAACTGATGAGACTAATTTAATTGTGGTTATTTGTTTAGATATGTTGCTGTTGTTGGAATGCTCTCTTATTTATGGTTGTATGAGGAAACCCTTTCTCCTTTTTCCCAAGCTGTCTCTAAGCCTCAGTTTAATAGACTATGCTTTGGTAAACTGCAGTGAAACATTTTTAGTGGTATCTCATTCTCACTCATCCCTTAGAATTCAGAAACAGCTATGTTACTAAGATTTGTGACTTGACTTGGCAATATAGTTATTTGGGTAAGATTCAATAAGAATCTTGCTCTCTTTTTATCAGAGCATAATTGGAAACATCAATTGTGCAAGCAATATCGCATTTGAGAATGATTCTCATTTAATCAGCTGTGAAAAGCCCCCTATTAAAGAGCAAGTTCTTAGTTGGAAGCCTGTTCTCAAGACTAGTTATGTATGGATTCAGTGCCTACAGAGTCTCCCAAGAACCCTGGCTTGGCACTTGGTACTTGGCTTACAGAGCATCAGCTTCACAGAAGGTATGATTTCTTACCAGATCAGAGGCCTTAGAGAATTTGGAAGTCATCAAGAAGAGAAGAATTCACCCAGATTTATGGGTATATATAAAATCTGCTGGAGAAAACGTCTTGGGCTGAGTCTCCTACACTCAGCATAAAAAAATATGAGGACTATAATAAAAATCAAATCTGAGACCTCTGATGAAAAATCTACCCAGAAAATTCTTAATCTTTCATAGTTGCTCAATACTATAAGGCTCTAGATTTTCAGATCAAACTCGAGGCCTGTGTGTTTGATTAGGACTCTTGTTGCCTTGCATCCATGTGAATAATTAGACCAAACCTAATGAGGCTAGACTTTTTCTTTAAAGATAATCTTTGAGGATTATTTATAATCATAAGGGGTAGAATATCAGAAAAGTTTTCTGAAACAAAAATGGAGCAACTACTGAGTGTTTTTCCGTTCAGTGTAGGCTTTTACCTTTGATTTTCTGTTGCTTTGGGTGTTGTAAAACCTTGTAGGAGAAGGGGTGAATGTACAGATTTTTGTCTAGTAGAGATACAGATAATTTCTATCTGGTGGAAAAGATGATTTAAAAATTATAGTTTATTGCCCTGTTGGACATTATCCCATTTTATTAATATATCTAACCAGGTGATCTTACCATAAAATTACTTTGTAAAATTGCCTTTAAACACCTACCTCTTCAAATTTTAATTTCAACTGGTTTTAACATCTTACTGGCTTCCTCATTAATTACTAAGTGTATAAGATCTTTGACACACATTCATTTTTTATTTACATAAGAGACATGATTTTTATTACATAGGAATCATGATTTTGCTTTGTTGAAACTCGTACTTTAACAGGCCTGAGCAACTGGGGAAATGGCGCCATTGACTGTGGAGAATCCTAAGGAATAAGCATACTTGTTAGGGATAAGCATGCGGTGAATCAGGAAGCTAGTGAAATACTTTGCTTTGGAAATGTTTAATTCAAAACAGAGCTTTGTTTACTTAAGAATGTTTATAGCAATGTGAAGTAGCAAGACACAGGAAGACTGGCAAACTTGACCTAGCTCGTATAGTGGCCAAAGTCACAGAAGCATAGAGATATGTATGAAAGGCGGGTGGGTGGATCGCCTGAGGTCAGGAGTTTGAGACCAGCCTGGCTAACATAGTGAAACCCCGTCTCTACTAAAAATATAAAAAATTAGCTGGGTGTGGTGGCAGGTGCCTGTAATCCCAACTATTTGGGAGGCCGAGGCAGGAGAATCGCTTGAACCCGGGAGGCAGAGGTTGCAGTGAGCCGAGATCATGCCATTGCACTCCAGCATGGGCAACAAGAGCAAAACTCTGCCAAAAAAAAAAAAAAAAAAAAAAAAGGGATAGTTAGCAGTCATAGAGATCCTAGAATACCAAACGGAAGTACTTGTACTTTGCTCTGAGAGTTTTGGGGCGCAGTGAAAGTTTTTTATGGAAGAATGACAGTCCTAAGGTTTCCAAAAGATTCAACTGGAATGCGTGTTTTAGATGACTTGGCCAGAGGAAAACTGAAGATAGAGAAGCTAACATGAAGACCATTGCTTTAGACTTGGGAAAAACAATAGATGCATGGATGGGAGGCGGAAGGGTATAAAATGTTAGAGTATTAGAATTTAGATAATTTGGCAAATCCTTTGTGTTCTTGTCTCGTAATTGTAGGCTTCTGTTACCAGGGAGACAGAGTTGGAAAGTCACAGAATTAATGGTGATAAGCTTTCAAACCGGCTCCTTTACAATGAGTTGGCACAGAACAAGCGTATACAGGCTAGGGAAAAAAACTCTTAGGCTTACTGAAGCAAAATTCTGTACGTCAAGAAAACAGGAAAGGAGGCATTTTGTGCTTCATAAAGTTGAAGGGGTAGTAATAAACATAGGGATAATATTATTGTCTTACAGTTCAGTGTGGAGAAAAAGAAATAATATGGAACTCCTTACATAGAGGAATTACATTATCATTAGAACAAATTGCATGCTGAAAAGGAACTTCACATTTCAGCATTTCTTTTATTTTTTTAAAAAATGAAACTATGAAAGAAACTATATAAAGGAATCTGAGAATGTCATCTGCCTTCGTTATATTGTAGGATTGACAGTTGAGGGCTTTTAGAGATGCTTTCTTCAAGGAGCTTCAATCATTCATTGGCGTTCAATGCTTTAGGGCCATAGTTTTATGCAGAAAAATTTTTGTATTTCCTGTTATTCAACCATAATTGGAAATGAATGCATGAAAATCAGTATCAACAAAGTAAATTTAGGAATAAGTAATTTGAAATAGTGACTTTTAAAGAAGTTCTGAAACTAAATGGTGAAAAGCAAGTTTCTCATTCATCTAATGATCCAAATTTACAAGGATTTGGTAAAATTATTGTTTTAATTAAGATATAATTTTAATTTAATTGTATTTTATGATAGTCAGAGTTAATAGGGAAAAGAGAATACAGAAGTCAAATATGAGGTCAAAGTTTTTACTTCTTCCTGATTTCAAGCTAGAAATTCTGTGTGGATAGAAGGAATGTCCATGGGACTCAAAGTGAAGGTCAAAGTCGAGCCCTGCTTCCGTACTGGCTGAAGACCTGTATGTCCAGCTCCTGTCAGCTGTGCTCAGGGGTTTCTCATGTAAGACTTTGATCTCTCCCTACTGTTTAGAATTTTAGAATGGTAAGCAATATTTGGTTGTGCTCCTCATCAGCTGGAGTTGTGTGTATGCACCAGTGTGTGTATTTGCAAGTTTGACCTCCTGAAATCTCAATCTGATGGTGGATGTCTCTAACTTTATTTTGCTGCTGCTTTTTTTTGGGGGGGGGGGCGGGTGGGAGGAGGTGGCAGACGGAGTCTTGCACTGTCACCAGGGCTGGAGTGCAGCGGCGTGATCTCGGCCCACTGCAACCTCTGCCTCCCGGGTTCAAGCAATTCTCCTGCCTCAGCCTCCCGAGTAGCTGGGATTATAGGCACCCGCCACCACGCCCGGCTATTTTTTTTTATTTTTTAGTAGAGATGGGGTTTCACTATGTTGGTCAGGCTCATCTTGAACTCCTGACATTGTGATCTGCCCGCCTCAGCCTCCCAAAGTGCTGGGATTACAGGCGTGAGCCACCATGCCTGGCCACATCTTTTTTTTTTTGGGACAGAATCTCGCTCCGTTGCCAGGCTGATGTGCAGTGGCACTGTCATGGCTCACTGCAGCCTTGAGCTCCTGGGCTCAAGCAGCCCTCCCACTTCGGCCTCCCGACTTACTACAGGTGCATGCCACCATTCCCAGATGAGACTGAGTCTCTGTATGTTGCCCAAGCTGGTCTTGAACTCCTGGACTCAAGGGATCCTTCTGCCTCCGCCTCCCAAAGTTCTGGGATTACAGCTGTTAGCCACCATGCCCAGTTGTTTTGCTTCTTTATGGGTGTTTATTTCATTTCCGTTTCATTCACCAAATGTCTGCATTTTGTGTCACTGTTTACACAAGTCACTGTCTCTTGGTTGTTAATGTGAAAACTTGGAGAACAGAAACAAAACTTCTCTAGTGATCTTGAGCAGGAACATAGATTTGCCTGAGTTCATCTAATATATTCCATTAAGATGCCCTTAACAAGGCATGTTACCTTCAGTCATCTCTTTACCCTCTTTGTGCCAAGTTTCTTCATTTGTAAAATGGGAAGGTTAGAAACAGAACTAGATCTTATTTATTGGTTGGTTTATTTCTCCCCCACATTGCTCCACAGGAGGTGGAGATGGCTCAAAAATTTCAAAGCTATTTTTAGCCAAACATTTGGTGCTATTTATTTCATGTTGGGCTTAAAGCAAAAATTTATGTCACTAAGATTTTTTTTTTTTCTACTGACTTGTTGCAAAAGAAAAAACAAATGTATTGTCCAATAATAAGATTAAGAGTATATGAAAATTAGAGCAATTTAACATTAACTTTTTTGTGGGCAAATTATATTACTATGTAAGTAATATATAGCTGTTGCTGATATTTGGCAAGTGCCTTCAGAATATTTAATTTTTATAATTTCCACTACTTTTCAGTCACAGCACTCAGGAGAACAGAACCATTTTAATTTTTACAGAATTCCTTAACCCAAGGATGATTTGTAAGTAGTTATTTTCATTTGGAAGCCTTTTTCTCCAAACGTGCCTCATGCCATAATGGTTTTCATTTGGGAGGCTTTTTCTCCAAACATGCCTCGTGCCATTATGGTTGAGAGCAGTGCACACAAAATAGACCAGGCTACCAAGCCCCCAAACCGGAAGCGAATCATGTGACTGAGGCACTCACTTGTGTCAAGTGACAGATCTGCCTGTGTACAATTATTGGTGGAATCATCAGAGGCTGTTAATCATCACCAAATTGTTTTCCTTGGAACTGTTTTTTATATGATTACCACTGAGAATCAACAAACTCTTAAATCATAATGACAGTTGAAAGACCTAAATGTCAACCAAATTAAGAAATAATTTCTTAGAGTAATGAAAATTAATAATATTATTATAATAAAATAAGAAAACTTAATAACAAGATGAAATAATGTTAACAAAGCTACGACATAAGGTCTACTCTTGGAGAATATTTGAATTTCAGGGTAAAAATGGCATCAGAAACACTAACAGTCTCATATAAAATCAAGCAAAGTCAAATTTGAACCTTTTGAGTATGTGGGATCCTGCCATATAATCACATTGGTGATTTCACCCTAAAAGCCAAACATTTCATTGCACTGATTTGATTTTAAAGACTTCTAATTTTCTGGTAAAATACCCAGAATGAGAAAGAGGGGAAGGGAACAGAGACTAAAGATAGAGGAAATTTATTATTTTGGAAATTGAATGCCTAGCTCAGAATGCAGTTGATTACCCTTCTCAAGACCCATGTCTATGTTCATTTTCCACATGTGAAAAATATATAAAAGGCTGTTACCCCGTGAGCTGTTGTGTGTGAAACTTGACTCTTGTGAGCACCCAGGACTGTCCTGCATGAAAGGAAGAAATCAAGTCAAGTAAAAAGATACTTTGTTCTTTGGTATAGGCAGAATTAAGAATTAAACTCATTATTTAAATACTTGAGGTAAGATACAGTATTTGAACTTCTCAAAAGTGAAATTAGGGAATTTTAGAGATTAAAAGGAACATAAATGTTTAATATTACAGGTGAGAAAACTGGAGTCTAAGAATGTTTAATTAAATAAAGATATGTCTCCCAGCACTTTGGGAGGCCGGGGCCGATGGATCATGAGGTCAAGAGATCGAGACCATGCTGGCCAACATGGTGAAACCCCGTCTCTACTAAAAATAGAAAAATTAGCTGGCCATGGTGGCGTGTGCCTTTAGTCCCAGCTACTTGGGAGACTGAGGCAGGAGACTCTCTTGAACCTGGGAGGCGGAGGTTGCAGTGAGCTGAGATCACGCCTCTGCACTCAGCCTGGTGACAGAGCGAGACTCCGTCTTAAAAACAATAACAGCAACAACAGCAAATGTCCATCACTCTTCTCGTGTCAGCCATTGCACTAGTGGCTGGTGATACAAGCTAAATAAGACATCAAAGCTCTGCCTGAAGAAGTGTGCATTCATGCTGGAGGAGAGAGGCAGGAGAGTGTATGGGACTGTATCCTTACTGTGGGAAGTGATCACAGCTATGGTAGAAACAGCAGAACAGGGAGCTTCCTAGCAGCTGTGGTTTGAGTCCTCAGGGTGTGCCTTGGAGAAAGCACTGGGATTACAGGTGTGAGCTACCATGCCTGGCCTGGGTTTTCCATTTTTTAAGGGTGGGGAAGGAAGAGGAGGAGGAGGGAGAAACCAGCAGCATCAGGAGGCCACAGAGCCAAAAACATTTACCACCTGGCCCTTTGCAGACAATGTTTGCTGGCCCCTGGGTTAGACAGGGAGGCCTGTGAGGGTAGATGTCCACACCTGCAGATGCATTCCAACCCTGGAGAACAGCCAAAGCCCAGGTATGGAGAGGTGAATGCACAGGCTGTTCTGGGAACTTTGGCTTTTTTGTTTCAGGGGAGTCACTATTTTAAAGAAATGGCATCCCCACTGGAGCCCTTTTGTAAAATGCTGGTTAGTTTTGTTGACACAAGACCGTGTGGTATATTTTTCATGTACTTAGCAGTCTCTGTAACTGTCTCATTTCTCCTTTACTGTTTTCCACTTCTAATTATTTAGAAGTGATTAATGTTTAAACATTATTTAAATTCCCTCACACCTAGAATGTCTAGGGCAATGTTGAAAAATAGTTTTCCAGTCGTTAGTCTCTTGTTTAGCTCATCTAGCTACACACGTTCCTCCCTCCCTCGCTTCATCCTGCCATCCCTCACATCACAAACTCTCCTCCCTTCCTCCCCCACCTCATGTTATTCTGTCATCCCAGGCACATTCAGGGTCCCACGGAAAGAGACTGTTCTGGGGACACCAGTCATGGGGTGCACTGGGCCTCTGCATTCAGCAAGTGGGACAAAACTCAGGCAATCTGCAACCTCCAGGTTTGTGTGAATTCACATGATTTCTCAACTAGAAAATCAGCCAAATGTGTGAAGTTCTGGAAATCCGGTTTTATACATAATTGAATTTCTCTAGAAACTGGAGTTTTAGGAGTTATAAGTCCTCCCTTCCCAGTGACTAAATGGATCCTTTTTTTTTTTTTTTTTTTTTTTTTTGAGACAGTCTTGCTCTGTCACCTAGGCTGGAATGCAGTGGTGTGATCTCAGCTCACTGCAACCTCCGCCTCCTGGATTCAACTGATTCTCCTGCCTCAGCCTCCCAAATAACTGGGCTTACAGGCACCTACCACCATGCCTGGCTAATTTTTTGTATTTTTAGTAGAGATGGGGTTTCACCACGTCGGCCAGGCTGGTCTCGAACTCCTTACCTCAAGTTATCCACCCACCTCGGCCTCCCAAAGTGCTGGGATTAAGGCATGAGCCACCGCACCCGGCCTACATTTTTTTTTTTAAAGGTTTAGCCTGGTGATTTTATAGCTCATCTAGGTTGTAAGGAATAGCAATGAATCCTAAAAGATATGTACTAAAGATACATTCAAAATTAATACATGCATAAAGTATAAATTAAATATGACAAGTATTGAAACTTAACACTATTTAATATTTTAAATGAAAAAATATTTTCACAAGGGATTGTACTGAACAAATCCTTTGAATTTCAGCTTTGCTTATGTTTTCCAGCAGGAAAATGATTATAAAATATACTTGTAATGGAGAAGTTAGCCTGATTATTTTGTATTATATTAGAATTACCAATTACATTTGTATCTAAGGACATTTGCTATATTATTGTAACAAACTGGATTTTTGTCTTGGGCATATTTTTCTGTATCATTTCAAGTTTTATTTTTGTCTTTTCTACCTACTTCTGTTTCTTATTACAGTTACACAAAAGTGAGTTCTTTTTATTTATTTTTTTAATTTATATTTTTAATTTTAGCTTTTATCTTAGATACAGGAGTACATGTGTAGGTTTGTTACATGGGAATATTGTGTTATGCTATAGTTCAGGGTATGGATCCTATCACCCAGGTAGTGAGCATAGTAGCCGATAGGTAGTTTTTCAACCCATGCCTCCCTCCCTCCTCCTTCTCATAGTCCCCAGTGTCCATTGTTATGTCCAGGTGTGTTCAATGTTTAGTTCCCACTTATAAGTGAAACGTGCAGTATTTCTTTTTTTTGTTCCTGTATTAATTCATTTAGGATTATGGCCTCTAGCTTCATCCATGTTGCTGCAAAGGACATGATTTCATTCTTTCTTATGGCTATGTAGTATTCCATGGTGTATATGTACCACATTTTCTTTATCCAGTCTACTATTGATGGACACCTGAGTTTATTCCATGTCTTTGCTATTGTGAATAGTGTAGCGATGAACAGGTGAGTGCATGTGTCTTTTTGGTAGAATGATTTGTTTTCCTGTGAGTATATACCCAGTAATGGGATTGTTGGGTTAAATGATAGCTCTGTTTTAAGTTCTTTGAGAAATCTCCAGACTGCTTTCCACAGTGGCTGGACTAATTTACATTCCCACCAACAGTGTGTAAGTGTATAAGCGTTTCCTTTTGTTTGCAGCCTTGCCACATCTTTTTTTTTTTTTTTTACTTTTTAATAATAGCCATTCTGACTGGTATAAGATGGTATCTTATTGTGGTTTTGATTTGCATTTATCTGTTGATTAACTGGCTGTATGCAGAAGACTGAACCTGGATGCCTTTCACCCTATATAAAAAAACTAAAAATGGACCAAAGATTAAATGTAAAACCTCAAACTATCATAATTCTGAAAGACAACTTAGGAAATACTCTAGTCAACATTGGCTCTGGGAAAAATTTTTTGGCTAAGTCCCCAAAAGCAATTGCAACAAGAACAAAAATAAACAAGTGGGACTGAATTAAACTACTGAGCTTGCACAGCAAAAGAAATTATCAACAGACTAAAGAGACAACCTACAGAATGGCAGAGGATATTTACAAACTATGCATTTGACAAAGGCCTAATATCCAGAATTTATAGGGAATCTAACAAATCAAGAAGCAAAACACAATAAAAAAAATTTAAAAATGGGCAAAGGACATGAACAGGCACTTCACAAAAGAATACATGCAAGCTACCAACAAACCTATGAAAAAATGCTCAGCATCACTAAAAATCAATTCTTAAAGCACCCTTCTTATAAGGAATTCCAGGCAGAACGCAGAGTTAGTATTGCAGTTTTTAGTTGGAAAAGCTGGTTAATATAACAGAAGTAATAAACCAGTCCTCTATTTGTGTTTATTGACAGTTGCAATTTAATTTTGACATTGAATTTATAGACTATTTAATATATTTGAGTGCACATGGACTGTAGTGGAACAGTCATTCCTGAGGTGGCCTGACATCTCATTGATACCTAATACAGATGACTCTGCTCTAAAAGTTTTATTTTCCTCCAGAAACATTGTACACAGTAGATGACCATGTCCTTCAAATACTGTGGCAGCTCCATTAGTGTTCCGAGAAGATTGTGAGGTCTTATGACCTGTTGTATTTGAGTGAAGCTTTGGAAAAGATGAGAATTCTACCGGAAATGCTTAAGGACTAATAACTGTAATTTCCTGAGTTATACTAGTCAATTTGATCAAAATTCCTTTTGATCTGTGGGCAAATGGTTCTATAAAATTTTTTACTTTTTGTGCTTTTCAGACTCATTTTGCTTCCTGTTGATTTTTGGCTTTACAAGTTAGCAATTCTGGTTGCAAAGTTTATTATTCTGAATGCTCATCATCAACTTGGGAACCTGCTTCCAAATACAAGTGTAAGACAGTATCATGCTTACAATGTATTGATATCTGATTACATTTTTGGTGAAAGGGAAGATGTGGACAAAATGGCCTCTTAAAATGGTGACAGAATTCAAGGCTCTTTTCTATGAAATTGACTGGAAATATTACAGATAAAGATATCTTTGCTTCTGATTGTGAATGCTGTATACAAGATTCATGATAGAATCAGTTATTGGAGGTAGAAGAATCTTAAATCCCCATTACATGTTCTTCACTAGATAGAAGTCATGTTCTAGAAACAGGATTTTAGATAATGATTACCTCTGGCACATCCAATGTATATTACGTTGTCAACGATTGATGTTAATGTCGATGGCTGCTTGTAATCAGGCAGAATGCTCAGATTTGGGATTGTTTCAAAAGAACTCTAATTACTAAATTCCATTAGCAGTTTGGGCAGCCTGGGAAATCAAAGTAATTGATAGCAGCTTTTCTGAAGATCTGTGCAGCATTAGTACGAAGAAAACCTGTTAGCTTGGCAGGACAGTATAAAGCTTAGGGAAGAATTTATAGTTGGTAGTTAAAAGGGCCTTTCAGATACCAATTATTTTATATACTCAGTAATCTTTTTGGCTTTTATACACTATTACTGTATGACTAAGGTGGTAAATCAATGTGTGCACCGTAAGAGTAAGAACTTGTTTGATTCGAAAAGTATGGATCTTTTATTTCAGCAAACACCTTTAGCACCTACTTGTGCAGACCATCGTGCACAGTTGACGCATGTGATGAATCAGTCATAATCCTGGCCCAGTAGGATTTTACACTGCAGCTAGGTAGTTTATCCAATTGGATAAAGAAGTAGAATGTAATGAAAGTATTCTGAGGAGGATAGAAGCAAGCATTTTATTGGGAATTATATACTTCAATTTCAATTTTAATTTTCTGCCATTTTCTCTGACATGCTATTCAGTCATTATACTTTTAAAACATAATAATTATTCTAGATTCTGTGACAAAATTCAGATTTAATTCTAACATTGTTTAAAGCACATGTCCCAAATTAGATATGGCTTATATGAAATACATCATTTTTTTAAACAGCTAATTGCTTTCTATATCAGAAACTGTTATTACAACATTTTAATGCCTGACTGCAGCATTGCGTGTCGTAGGCTACCAGACTTTAATGAAGAATTTTAAAATGTTGACTAAAAGAAAATTATTCAATATTTTGGTCTGCTGAAACTTTTATCAATTAATTAACATTAATTTAAATGTAAAGCATCATTCCTTTAAATATATATATGTTGTGTATTCAGTCTTCTGCAATTGACTCTTTTAAAAATACGAACTTGTTTTGTACATAGTTAAAACAAAAATGTATGAAGAGAGGAATAAAATCTTTGGGGAAAACATGCTACAGTTAATAATATATAGCAGCTGTAAAACCTGTGTAGTGATTTGTAGGTAATTAGCAAAAGGACTAACAGACCATATGGTCAAGCATTATGTATTAGTTATTTTTCCACATGCAAAAATAATGTTATAAAATTGGACTTTCCTTAATTAACTCAGCATTGAAACTTAGATTTATGCATTCTAGTCTATAAATAACTAAAATATAATTTGTAAGTATCTCAACACTTTGGGATATTTTAGATTGTGGTTTAATCTATGTATGAAAGGCATAGCAAAAGCATTTTCTTGTATATGAATTGGGGCAGTAGGGAACCCCTGAAATGTCAGATTATTCATTTTTCATTCATTATGGATCATTATCCAGATTAATGCTGAAATAATTAGTTTTAAATTAGTCTTTGGTAGTGATTCCCAGCATGGAGTTTTCACATAATAAAATAATTGTAAAATAGTACGAGACATTATTTTAGTACAGTTTCCTTATAGAAATAGGGAACCTTATTAACCTTCACTGGGTTAAGGTTAAACTCTAGTGAGGATTAATGTAGGTAACATTACTTTGAACCATATTCCTGTATCTTTGGCAAAATGAAAAGCTATTGTTCATTAAAGCATTCATTAGACCTTATATATAAGAATACACTTATGGTTGAGCTAGTGCTTGAAAATAATGCAATCATTCCAGGTTAACTTTTTGTTATTATTCAATAATTACCATGCACTCTGAATATTTTTTTTCTTGTCTTATCTGCCAAGAATCACTTTCTCATTCAATATGGGAGCTCTGCCATTTTCACTACTTGATTCCTAATGCTGTTGGAACATATGATTTGTCTCCTATTTCACATAGAGATCTTCACTTCTGAGATATTCCAATTTTAATAAACCTTTCTACTCCATCATTTCCTGACTATGGATTAGGGATACTGATACCTACTTATTGGTAATATTTAGCTAATTTAGGAAATGCATCTGAAAGTGTACAGCAAAACATCTGGTACACATTGAATGCTCAAAAAAGGGTGGCCTCCTTTCTTCATCTCCGAGGTTATTTCTGTCTTACTTTGCCTCACAATTATAGCTTCTATCATTGATTTCTTAACTGGATCCATCTTTAGGTCATACAGTTATGTTTAAGTTCCCTTTACCTTAATTTTCAACTCTACCTTACCCTCAACCAACTGTCCTTGTTTCCTCTGCGTCTTCATCATCAAAACTTTCAGAAACGACCTTTTTTCTCTGCCTTATTTCCCATTCCTGATTTCATGACAGTCTGGCTTCTAACCCCACAAACTCTCAAATTTTCCTCCAATGACTTCCTTATTGCTACCTCTAAAGACTGTTATAGTCCTTATGTATTTTCTTCTGTCGACCTCATGACATTGTGTCCTACTCCCTGTAGCCCATGTTCATTGGCTCTATCACTCGAGTGATACCGAGTGGTTTGATGTCTCCCTTTCCTCTGCTTAGGTCTCTTGTTTTCCTGTTCTTTCTTTTACTGCTATATCCTATACAGTGGCATCTTAGACTCTTGACCTGGCCTCAACTACAACCTGTCCTGTGATGACTCTTGACATCTCTCCTAGTATTCAAAACTGCCCACTGATCATCTCTAGTTGCTCCATTGTTATTGGTTAATATGCCCAAACAGTTCCTTAAGTTATAAATTCTTAAAAGTTATTGCAGATTCTTGTGTCTCTCCACCTATTTGTTTCGCCACACCATTGTGTATGGTGATAATTTCTTCACCTGCGTTCACCCTGCCTAACTGCCCCATTTTACCCTTCATCATCTCTCACCTCAGTCATTATAGTTGCTTATTAACTAATCTCTTGGTCACCAGTCTCCCTCGCCTCCAACTCCAGTTACCTTCCTTAAATAAAGAAAAAGAAATTGATCCTACCAGTCTCCTGTTTACAAGCCACTGATAACTCCTCATTACCTATAAAATAAACTCCAAAGTAGGCAGCGTAGAGCTCTTCACAATCTGGGGAAATAATTTCTATACAAAATCATTTCCTATGACAAACATTGAGTTGATAGTAAATATTTTTGAATAACCTCTTAAAACATCTTCCAGGTCATTGAATGCCCTCTATTCTGGGTGAAGCCATCACAGACTGTTTCCTGAATGTGCTTTCTTTTCACCTCTGCACTATTATGTATGGTAGATTCTTCATAAGGAAGGACCTTGCATCCTTCAAGACAGAGCCCAAGTATCAAGCCCTCTTAGAAATTGTCCATCATTTTCAGGGCATAGTTAGTTACTCCCTCCTTGAAGTTCAGTTTGAGATGATAGGATTATGTGGTTGCATCTCAGTCTCCAGCACTGCATTGAATTCTGTAGAACAGAGACTTTGCCTTGTTTATCCTGATGTTGGATTCCCTCCAGGACATACTACGTTTAAAACATTGGTAATTATCTGCTATTTGAAGCTTCTTCAGCTTGTTCAAAATTTGAATGGTCAGTTACTTTCAAGTTTTCATTTTAAAATGAATATTTTATTGAATATAATGCAGTTAAAGACATGTGAAGGGACTATATTTTAATCATCTTATGCTCAGTTAAATTTTTTTTTTTTTTTTGGAGACAGAGTCTCGCTGTGTTGTCCAGGCTGGAGTGCAGTGGCATGATCTTGGCTCACTGCAACCTCCACCTCCCGCTTTCAAGCAATTCTCCTGCCTCAGCCTCCAAAGTAGCTGGGATTACAGGCGCCCACTACCAGGCCCAGCTATTTTTTTGTATTTTTAGTAGAGAGGGCTTCACCACGTTGGCCAGGCTGATTTTGAACTCCTGACCTCAAGTGATCCACCCTCCGCGGCTTTCCAAAGTGCTAGATTACAGGCCTGAGCCACCATACCCGGCCTGAGCCACCATATCCAGATAGTTTTTTTAAATATTATAAAGTATTCTGTTTCTTTCATCTGTGAAATGTAAGAGTAGTAATTTATAAATGAAAGTTCTTCCTCTATGATTAATTCGAGAGTCATTCTCAAGGGCACAGTGTCTTCCTTTGAGGGGAAAAGCTTTTTGGAAGTGCAAGTATTATGCTGTCCCTGAGAGGTCTTGTGTTTTGCAAATATAGCACAGTCATTCTCTACCTTTCAAATGGAAACATTACACAAATGCATTAGAAAATGTTTTTGTTTAAAACATCACATTTGTTTTGTCATGAAAGAACATAACAGTGGTAAATTCCCCATCCAGCATGCAAAAACCAGATTAACCCCAAATCTACCAGAAATATTGCACTAATCAATGATTGCACTTAACCTAAGTATCATTTTGTGAGGCAGGGGAATGGTTCTGATTTGGTTGCCAGCGATACCTATTGTATTTGGCAGCATATGTGGGGATTTTCCTAGTCTCTACCCAGTTGTAAATAAGTCATTCATTAGTCAAGATATGTCGAGTTAGCGTAAGTCAAGGTCTGCCTGAACTGTGATATATTTTATCTGTTAAAGAAAGCAGACTGAAGTCTTTCTTGCAAATTCATGCTAATGAAGTAACTGGAGTAACTTTCCTAGTGCTTTGTTTATTTGTCTTACTTTCTTCATGGGGATGTAGAGATCATAATTTTTCAGAAAGGAACTATGAGATGTGTATTAATTTTCAGGTTTTTGCAACTAGATAAATTTTATATAAGTTTTAGATATGTTTTTGCAAACATAAGTTTATATATATATACACACACACACACATATATATACATGATACACACACATACATAAATACATATACACACACACATGCAAATGGTGGTGAAGTAGTGTGGAGAAAGACAATAAGGGAGGGAGATACAGAGTAGAAAAAAAGAGGAAGGGACTCATTTACAATTTGAAATGGATGGTTAAGTCTTAATGAGAAAGTGACATTGAGTAAACCCTGAAGACACTTGCCTTCTCATCTTAGGTTCCTGAACATGAGCACTGGCTGCCATGCCGCCATGTAAACTAAGGCTAGACAAGACCAAGTTCAGCATCACCCATCCCCATGTTAAAGTCACTGAGTGAAAAGGCATGTTTGGAAATGAAAACTGTTTATAAACCTACACTAGATAGACATCAGTCCTCACTTTAACGTCATCCTTCATCTGGTACTAAGCATTGTATCAGTGAGGATTGTCTGAGCTGCAGTGATAATTGATCCAGGGGCTTCAACAACACTGATTTATTCCTCGCTCAGTTACACGCTCATCGTGAGTTTGCAGTGGCACGGCTGAAGTTGCCCTCACTCCACGACAGAAGCTGATGGAGCTGGTTCTATCTGGAGCACGTTCAGCCTTATGACAGAGAGAAGAGACATCACAGTGATTTCATCTAATTCCATTTCATTGGCCAAAGCAAGTCACTTATGCAAGAGCCTTACCTGAGTGAAGAAGGGAAATAGAGCCTTCCCAGAAGGAAGGGCATAGTAGGAAGTGGTAGCAGATGGTTGAAACACTAATTGTATTTTCCTCACTTAGGTATTTAATTTTATTTCCCTTCAAGCTCCAATATATGTTATTTTCCACTTCAGTTACACAGATGTCCTCTTGTTACCACATCCCTGCTGTGTTCTCTTCTTGAAAATCTGTCCTTGCTGGGCATGGTGTCTCACACCTGTAATCCCAGCACTTTGGGAGGCTAAGGCAGGAGGAGCCCTTGAGGCCAGGAGTTCAAGAGGAGACCCTGTCTCTACAAAAAACCGAACAAACAAAAATGTTTGTGTTTTCTCTACCGCTGGTGTGTTAGCTGTCTTCCTCCTATAGATTGTTTGAATCCCAAGAGTCTTTTAAGATGCAGCTAAGTAACATTTTTCCTTTTCCTTTACAGTTAATCTGCTTAAATACTTCAAGCTGTACAAGTCTGCTGTGGAAGTGAGCACCACACAATGTGGCTTCAGCTTCCGATGTGATTTCTATTTGAACTCCGATATTAGAAACCATGTCTTAGACCTCCCATGCAGCTCTCAAAGTGCTTTGCATTGCTGTGGTTACATGGAAATGTTAAACAAATGAGTTAATGGAATAATTTTTATTTAATTGTTTTTAATAAATATTCATGAAAAATGTATCTATACTTGTAAATTTTAAATATGAGACACAGATTGTTCTCCTCACGTAACAGAAGAGTAGATTTCAGTTTTTGGTTTTTGTTTTTTTTTTTTTGTGGAGACAGAGTCTCACTCTGTTGCCCAGGCTGGAGTGCAGTGGCATGATCCCAGCTCACTGCAACCTCCGCCTCCTGGGTTCAAGCGATTCTCCTGCCTCAGCCTCCCGAGTAGCTGGGACTACAGGGATGCGGCACCATGCCCAGTTAATTTTGTATATTTAGTAGAGACAGGGTTTCACCATGTTAGCCAGGCTGATCTCGACCTCCCGACCTCAGGTGATCCGCCCACCTCGGCCTCCCAAAGTGCTGGGATTACAGGTGTGAGACACCATGCCTGGCAGATTTCAGTTTTGTTTGAGAAAAACGGTGTCTTTGTGGTATCTCAGGACCCTGAATGAAGCTAGGCTGTGAAGCATCTCTGCCCCCACCTTCAGCCTTCTCAAGCAAAACAACTGTACTTCAGTTTTTTTATATATGTGTAGGTATGTGGGTTTCTATAAGCTTTTATTTGATAATTAGGTTATTCTACCAAAATTTTTAAAATCACTGTTTTAAAATAAAAATAGAGAGGGCCTTACTAGATGTACATTTTATATGACAGTTCTTTTGACTGCCATGACCTGTTGGACAACAGCCTTAAGATTTAAGACAAATGAAGCAGGAGATAGGTTGTGTTTTAAAATTAGCTTGATCTTTGAAGCTGAGGGCTACTTTTCTTCGGCCAGTCTCTA
Source organism: Homo sapiens (assembly GCF_000001405.40). Classification (NCBI taxonomy): domain Eukaryota; kingdom Metazoa; phylum Chordata; class Mammalia; order Primates; family Hominidae; genus Homo; species Homo sapiens. The sequence continues at coordinate 162,623,575 of NC_000006.12, read as the reverse complement.
GCTTTGGTGAACTCTCCTTGGGAAAATGATTTATCTCTATTCTCATTGGAAAATAACCTTATTTTATTTTAATATACTGCTGTCCTTTTGGGCCTATGTTGCTTTCATAAGTTTGGAAATAAAACGAAATATTATTTAGTGTCAGAAAGCTCAAACGAACTTTAAATTCTGGAGCGTTTAATGTAGCAATGTGTGCAGATAATAGCAACATTCATCTAAGTGATCACTGATTTCAGAAATCCTTTAAAAAGTGTCATCAATTCTCTGAAATTAAGAAAAAAAGCCAATTTTTAAAATAAGATCTCTATATTGGAAACTTTATTCTTCACACATAAATTATTCCCTACATGAATCATTCTCAAAATGTATTCTCTCAAAAATAAAACCGAGTGAATTCTGTTATCAGCATGAGGCATTTATGACCCGAAGAAGCTAACGAACAAGATCCAAAAAAAAGAGGTTGAGGCTGAAGCCTAATGACTGGGTTTCCAGTTTAAGTCAGCAGGTTCAACACACTAGCTTAATTCTCTTTTCTCATATGGTAGCATTAAAACAATGGAAAAGGTTTTTTTTGTTTGTTTTTGTTTTCTGTTTTGTTTTGTTTCTCTGAAGTGAAATCCTACATTGAGCATTGGGGAAAAGTGGGAAAGGTGTTCAGGAGGGCGGTTCATAAAGCATTTCACGTGTAAAAAAGGGAGGTTCATAAAGCATTTCACGTGTAAAATAAAACTTGTCTGTCTTGGCAGGCATGGGTGTCACCAGCCTGCCTGCCTGCTTTTCCGCTCATGAAACCCACAGAATGTTCTGAGTGTTGACATGTCTTTCATTCCAGGAAGAAGCCTTTTGGGATCATGTATTTCACAGTGCAGATGAAACAATATGAATTACCCATACAAATCAATGTCATTTTTCACTTAGAAAAGTAACTAGGATTATCAGATCCAAGAATCATCAATCAGATATTTAGGGAAAAACTGTATTTAGAAGAATGAAAAGGGCAACCGATACCAGAAGATTCATGTACAATTCAGGGATTACCAGAAACTTTTAAAAAGGTGTCTAATTAATACCCTCAGCAGAATTTGAGAGGAAGGCCAGGCACGGTGGCTCACCCCTATAATCCTAGCACTTTGAAAGGCCAAGGTGGGCAGATGACCTGAGGCGAGGTGTTGGAGACCAACCTGGCCAACATTGCAAAACCCCGTCTCTACTAAAAATGCAAAAATTCGCCTGGGGAGCAGAGCGAGACTCTGCTACCAAAAAAAAACAAAACAAAAAAAAAAACAGAATTTGAAAGGAAATAATAGCTGTAAAGGCTGTTATGAAAAAGGAACAATCAAAACAAGAAATTTCCAGGAAATTAAAAGTATGATTATCACAGTAAAAATGTATTAAACCAAATAATGGAAAGGGAACTGTTGATGCCTAAACATGTTTTTTTCTTCAACTTAAAGTGAAGATTAGGCTGGGTGCGGTGGCTCAAGCCTGTAATCCCAGCACTTTGTGAGGCTGAGGAGGGCGAATCACTTGAGGTTAGGAGTTCAAGACAAGCCTGGCCAACATGGTGAAGCCCCGTCTCTACTAAAAAATACAATTAGCTAGGCGTGGTGGCATATACCTGTAGTCCCAGCTCCTTGGAAGGCTGAGACAGGAGAATCAATTGAACCCGGAGATGGAGGCTGCAGTAAGCCGAGATGGTGCCACTGCCCTCCAGCCTGGGCCACAGAGCAAGACTCTGTCTCAGTAAATAAAAAATAAATAAATAAATTGAAGATTAACTCTGAACACTTAAAACAGAAAGATAAGGAAATGGAACATTAAAGAGTTAGGGGCAATAGTGAATAGAGTCAGTAGGTCCAACATCTGATTAATACAAAATAATAAGACAATGAAAGGCAGAAAATAAAGTTTCATGACAACATTTTATAAGCTCAAGAAATAGTCTATGTCAATTAACATTTGTTATGTAACACATGACTTCAAAACTTAGTGATTTAAAACAAAGACCATTCATTTAGCTTGTGTCTGATTCGGCTGGTTGATTCTTCTGATGTGGGCAGTGTGGCTGTTTCCACCTGAACTGACTCATGTTTCTCTGGTCAGTGGAAGATTGGCTGGGATTAGCTCATAGAAGGTGAACTCACATGCCGTTATCTGTGATCTTTGTGGTGATGGGAGGAGCTGAGCCATGTGTCTTTCATCACCCTGCTAACCTCGACTTGTTCTCTTGGCAGCAGGATTCCTAAGAGCAGCAGGAGTGCAATTTCCAAGGCAGGGGCATTTTCAAGTCGCTACTTACTTTCCTTTAGTACTGTCCCATGGGCCAAAGCAAATTATGTGGCCAAACCCAGAGAACCCGGGAAGGGCTCTTCCAAAGCTAGGCACAAATTGGGGCCATTGCTGCTCTCAATTTACCATAGGCATCAATAGACAGATGTAAAAGTCTGGCAAGCGGGCTGGATCAAAGCTGGATATGTGGAGATATCTTGATGAAATTTCAAAATAAAGAAGATGCCACAAGCTTCCAATGAGACTAAAATAGATTGTCTGCAAAGGAATGAAAACCAGGCTAACATTATGTTTTCCATCAACAACACTGGATCCGAGAAGCTATCAAAGCAGTGTCTTCAAAGACCTGAGAGAAAATTAATTTAAATATAGAATTCTATTCCCAACTTTTAATCATACACACCGGAAATACAAAGATTGGTAAAAAATATATATCTGGGCACAGTGGCTCATGCCTGTCATCCCAACACTTTGGAAGGCTAAGGCAGGAGGATTGCTTAATGCCAGGAGTTGGAGGCCAGCCTGAACAACATAGAAAGACCCCATCTTTATTAAAAATTAAAAAGAATATCTATATGCAAATGTGTTGGGTGTTAACCCAAAAAAAATGAGTAAAAGGATGATATACAGGAGAAGTGATAGCTGAATATAAATTAAAGGGAAAACTGAAACTAAATGGAGAACTAAAAGGGAATAAAAAGATAATACATGAAGGCCTGAAACTTTCAAAACTCTTTCTTATGCAGCAGCACATTAGTGTTGGATGAAAATCCCTTCCCTAAGGATCTAATTACACTACTACATTTTGCAATGAATAGTATTCAGTAGTCATAATGCTAGAAATGTTGCTTATGTTGAGTTTTAATTTTTAGAATCAAATTTTACACAAAGCATTGGAGACTAAATTATTCTCTTGATGTTAGAAAAAAAATAATGTAATTAACAATAACCAGAAGGTGGCAGAACACGGAAAAAGTGGAATCAAGTGTCTACGCAGCAGTTCCTCATTTTCACTGAAAAAGATGTTGACTTAAGGTTGATAAGTCAACAAGACAGCTTAAATATATATTACTTGAAGTTATAAATGATAACCTGTTGAGGAGATAAAAGTAAAATACAAATGCCAGAAGTCAGGAGGTAGAATAGGAAAGAAGGAGGGAATGGGTATAACATCCCTCAATTCTTTATCTTCCATAGAAGACAAGCAGAATGCACGTGCAAAGCAGTTAAGAAATAATATGTATTTGATATATTTTGGTATGTCTAATATGTATTTAAGCATATCAGATTGCAATGTCATGTATGTTAATGCATGTGCAAATATTACCTTTCTGTTTATAAAAAATATTGTGAGAGAGAAGATACCCTCATTAACTAATAAAGTGCATTGTAGAATATGTATAAAATGGAAACTGTCCATTCGTCAGAATGAATGAGGCCTTTATCAAAGATGTCCATCATACATTGCTTAGTGAAAAAAGCAGCAGAACAGTAAGAATAGAAGTATGATTTATTCAACATGCTTCAGTCGGCCTGCTTGCCTATCTGCGGTAGTGTGTGTGTGTGTGTGTGTGTGAGTGGAAAAAGTGAAAGGATAGATACCAACACTTCTGTATTATTACTTTTTATACAACTGTTATATTTGTAAGTAAAATATTCTAAGAACACAAAAATGTCCAGATTCAGTCAGGTTCATTTCCCGTGCAATCTGGTAGTGGCACCAATACGCATGTGTTAAAGTCATAATTTTCCTTTTTAATGCGAATCATTAGTTAAGAGGCTGTCTACATATTTTCCATTTAAACCAGCTCTTTGGAGAATGAGATCCCCATGCTATTGTACACTAGCTAAAGTAGTAAACGCATAGTTTTCCAGCACTTTGGGAGGCCGAGGCGGGCGGATTGCGAGGTCAAGAGATGGAGACCGTCCTAGCCAACATGGTGAAACCCCATCTCTACTAAAAAAAAAAATTAAAAATTAGCCGGGTGTGGTGGTGCATGCCTGTAGTCCCAGCTACTCGGGAGGCCGAGGCAGGAGAATCGCTTGAACCTGGGAGGCAGAGGTTGCAGTGAGCAGAGATCTCACCACTGCACTCCAGCCTGGCGACAGAGAGAGACTCCATCTCAAAAAAAAAAAAAAAAAGGAAAAATACTGGATTAGATATGTTTAAGGTTCATTTTGCTTGAGGCACTATTTCAAGAGTCTAAAAGAGTTTCACCTTCATTTTGAAGTTTGTTTTGTAAAGTTATTATAGTCATTTATGTGGCAGTAAATCAATCCTTATTGGTATACTAAAATCTAGGTATTATAGATGCTAGTGTCACTATGCAGAGAATCCTGTACTTTTTAAGAAGTTGGAGTCATCCAGCTGTTCCTTACTCTGATGCCCTGAGAGAGTATGGCTCTCTTACTGCGAATGCATTTCGGACACAATGTGTTGCTCGAGTATTGGTTTTTCTCTACACATGTAATATCCCCAAAGCCTAAAACAAGATGTTTATCTTTTTGATAGACAAGCAATTAACTTTTGGGGGGGAGTTTCAAGGCAGTAAAGCCCATCTGTTAGGACACTGGAAATAAATAGGAATTTCTGACAGAAGAACATTATGGCCTTTCATTTGTTATGCTGTAGCTAAAGCTCTGTCAGCATTTTTATTATAAACCTAGGGGATTATCAGTCTGCAGTAAAACTCTTTTTGGACTGAGGCTTATTTAGATTCAGAGCGTACTCACGAAGAAAACCTTTACTTTCCTGAACACGGGATAGATTTGTTTCTGCTTGCCTTTCTAAAGGAGAAATGTGTCTGGGATTTCCATATAATTGTATAAATTTATAAAATATTTGATTTATTATAAACAGAGTCATTGGTGATCACAGTACATTATTTCCTATAAAGGCAGTGTAGAAACTGGTTGGCAGCATAGTTACCAAGTAGCGCTTAAAATAGTTGTTTATTTCTAAGTCATACAGTAGTAGGATTTTGGCAGTTGCCAGATAGCTCACCATTATCCATGCATTGATAAGATTGAATACACACTTCATAAGACCCTTTCCTTAAAATATTGAAATTTGAGTGGCTGATCCTGAATATCATTCCTATTCTGAAATGTGCTCCAAACAGTTTTAAAAAATGACTTCAGTTTCAGACAGAAAGAGGCATGTAATAGTAATTTATTTTTATTCACATGAAAGTATAAAGACACTAAAGAAAGAATAATGTTTAACACTAACAGCATGGGTTTAAACCCTCAGTCTACCACTTATCAGCTGCCGTCCTGGGAAAATTCCTTCAAATCTCTGCACCTCAGGTTCCTAGGGAAGAATAAATACTGATAATGATTATTCTTGTGTTACTGGGGCTGCTCTGAGTTTTAAATGCACTAATACATTGAAACCCCTTAGGAAAGTGCCTGAATATAGTAAGTGCTCAATAAACTTTAAGTAGTATTAGTACTCCTGGTAGTACTATTACTTGTTAGTTATTACTATGGTTTTATATTTCATCATAGGACCATAACAAAAAAAAATTATTTTTCAGATAAAAATTATACTAAGTGAAATAAGTCAGGCACAGAAAGACAGATAACTGCATAATTTCACTTGTATGTGGAATCTAAAAATGCTGAAATCATAGAAGCAGAGGCTGGAGTGGAAGGAAATAGGGAGATGTTGGTCAAAGGGTACAAAGTTCTAGCTAGCTAGACAGAAGGAATAATTGCATGGGATGCTGATCATAGTTAATAATGTATTATATGGCCAGGCATGGTGACTCATGCCTGTAATCCCAGCACTGTGGGAGGCCAAAGCAGGCAGATCACTTGAGGTCGGGAGTTCAAGACCAGCCTGGCCAACATGGTGAAACCCTGTCTCTACCAAAAATACAAAAATTAGCCAGGTGTGCTGGCAGGTGCCTGTAATCCCAGCTACTTGGGCGGCTGAGGTGGGAGAATAGCTTGAACCTGGGAAGTGTTTGTTGCAGTGAGCCCAGATCACACCACTGCACTTCAGGCTGGGTGACAGAGTGTGACTCCGTCTCAAAAAATAATATTAATCATAATGTATTATATATTTCTAAACTGCTAAAAGAATAGATTTTAAATATTCTCACAACAAAAAATGGTAAGTAGGGTGAGGTGATGCATATGCTAATTAGCTTGATTTAATCTTTCTACAATGTATACATATATCAAAATATCACATTGTACCCATAATTATGTACAATTATTATCAATTAAAAATTTTAAGATCTAACTTAAAATGCCATGACATTAAATAATAATTTTTAAGAAATCATTCTTACTGCTTAACAATGCAAGTGTTACCTGATCACTGCAGTTGATCAATTTCAGAAAACATGTAATATTTATTCCTGTGGAATAAATACTTTGTTTTTAAGTGTGAGAATTCTGTCTTCCTAGGAGCTTCATTTAAAAGTCTTATTCCTGCTGATGTTGCTGACTTTAAAAGAGCATTTCTCGATTATATTGCGAAGTATAGCAAAGGAAAAGTACTGTTACATAATGTATATGTCAAGATGTATCAGAATAGTGTTATATTATGTAAGGCTTTCTCCTGCTTCAATTCAGAGGAGTAGCAATTTTGTGCTGTACAAATAAATTGATTGATAGAAGATAGCAAGAAAAAGCCATACCATTGCTCAGATATGCTTGGCTATATACCATTTCACCTTTATAATACAAGAAGGATACAGTTTCAGTGTAAAAACTGTGTAGTGAGTTATATTACGGGGGGGTATCATTGTATAGAGTGTCATGCAACAATTATATGCTTACCACTGGAAGGCAGTGTAAGTTTTATTCTTTTTATAAATAATATTTATGGCATTTAATGGGGTAATTACAGTGATAGCAACGGGGTGGGGCAGAAGTTGTGCACATTGCTAAGTCTATTTATTCAGCAAGGATTGATTGACTTAATATTGTGTGCCAAGGTGTGTTAGATGCTAGAGATAGAAATAAGAATAAAGTAGGCAAGCTCCCTTGTCCCCAGCGGGCTTACTATCAAGCAAATAAATACTCTACCATGAACTACTATGGGATAATGCACAAAGTCTTCAGAAGGCAGTGGGGTCAGGGGTAGTGTCCAGAGGATATGGGTAAATGGGCCTTAAATAAAAGAGGGAAACCCTATTCTGTCTCTTAAATGAAGGAGAGAAGGATACATTTGGATACCCTAATATTTATAGGTTTAAGAGCCATGAGTTAGGAGGTTCCTGGGTGACAGCTCATGGTTTTGAATATACGGGTATAGAATTGTTTTACTTCCAAATTGGCAATAATACATAATGTTTATGAGAGCATCTTCTTGGTTTAGGACTAAAGAATGATTACCTTGGTTAAATATTAATTTATATACTCTGCCAATGTGGATAACAGGTGATCAGTAAGTCCTTCTGAATGAGTGACTGAAAGAGTGTGTGAGTGAATGAACAAAACTTTTTACCCACATGTCCCCTGACAAGTAGGGTTTTGCAAGTCGTTCTTCGTCCCTCTCTTCTATCCTGTCCTGATTTTACACTGTATTTTTCAGTTCCTGTAAAGCAGATCTCAATGCTGGCACATTTGATAATTAATTAATGGTGGAATAAGAGGAGGTGTTAGCTATTAATACTGTCCTTTACAGATGGCACATGCAATTAAACATCAGTTTTAGGGAAACAAAACTCTAACCCGAAGAAGAGTTGCTAGGAGACTTTTGACCTTGCTGGGGTGGCATGTGCATTGCATCAGAGACCTTCTGTGCTCCTTCCAGTCACTCTGCATCTGTGAGTGCCTGCCAAGGGTGTACATAGGTCTGTGTGCAGGTCTAAAAAAAAAATCCATCTCATGGAAATTGAGGAAGTTAAATTTGAGATGGTATCTTGAACTACATAGCAGGTATACTGCTGAGTATATAGCTGAAATTTTGGGTGAATGTGAAATGTACCAGTATAACATTTATAATATTATGTGGCAACTGTAACTTGTCAGAGAAGCACTAGTGAACATTATCAAAAAAAATAAGCCAAAACATAGAACTGACTCACCAAAAATTGTTAATTGTATGCTTAGGTTGCGTAATTTTCTAAGTCACATGTTGGTGGGAAATTTTTTTTGATATGGGCTGACAAAGCACAATAAACTTGGAGACAAAATAAATTGTACTATTGCTACTTAAGGTATGTGCTCATATTTTGCAATAAGCACATTTTTATTGTTTTTAATCCTCTCATTAAGACATAATGATCTTCTTCCAGCTGAGGTGTCTAATTACTGTCATATCCAATCACCTGTTAATTGGTGAGAATAAAGCAAAAAGCCACCATGGACACATCTTGACTGTGTGTTCTATTCTCAATGCATAGAAATGGATTAGACATAGAGTAATTGTTATTTACAGTGTGGAGCATTGCCTATAATCTTTGCTTTTCAAAATATAAACAGTAGCAAAACCAACTAAACTGTGTATATGGCTCTTTCTATGCTAGTTATCTTTCAGTTTCTTTTTTAAAAAAATACAGACTTGAGTTTTCATCAATTAGAGTTCACAAATCTGGAAAATAGATAAGTTGTTTTTGTAGATTCAAAACTTCATAGGCAAAGCTCAGATACGTGTTGTGGCCTAGTAGAGTCTAGTGCCTAACCTTCCTTTCCCTTCGTGAACATTTATTTGATTTAGACCACAGGGCATCCTTAAAAATATTTTTATGTTTTAAAAATTCATGTACATATTTGACATTTATATATTTGAGGTGTAATGCAAATTTAAAGGCACACATTAAATATATTCAGGGTTCTAGAGCTTTTGAAATTTGATGCACAAATATATTGAAGTGTATGTATAAGTTAACATATATAAATTATTTTACAAGGGCAATGAAAATATTTTTTAGAGAGACACTAAAATGGCATGTAAAGCAGACAATGTGGCCCTTTGCCTGATTTTGCACTTACAGGTTTATGGCACAAAACTTCCCCCTCATGACTTACCCTTCTCATTTATGCCATTGCCACCGCCATCTCCTGAGTCCCTAGAGGCACTCAGGTAACTCACCTAGTAACTAACTGGGTGATTTAATTAATTAAAAAGTTCAGATATCTCTTACATGTTTAGGAGGTGTTAGTTTATGATTAAAATATTACTATAGGAGAAGACAAAAGTAATATTGTCAGAATCATTTGACTCCTACAAATACAGTATTTATAAATGCAAGAAATAATTTACAGAATACATAATCAGAATTCTTAAATAATTGTCATTTATTCCACTAGTCCTGCTAACCTCAGGACTTTTCTCTTCTTTTTGTTTCTTCATATTAGCTGTATATTTCCTGGAACCCTCTCAGTGATTGCAACAGTACCTGTTCTTTTAAGATCTTGACCTTTTTGGTAGTGACTCTTCAAGCTAAGCAATACACATTTATTTCTGAGATAATGACTGTATTAGTTATATGGTGTTTTTATTTTTGTTACTCCTATTTCTTAAATCTTCATGCTTGGTCATCTTGCGTTTCAGTCTGTAAGGCATTTTATCAGCCATTCTGTTTACAATGGATACCTACTCAGGAAGGATGACTTTCAAAATTTGTGTATATTTTTTCATTTTTTTCTTAGGGGAGTTCTCTTTATGTACATTGAAAAACTAAAGGATTGTAATTGTTGGTGAAGAGGTAGAAGCATTTGCTGCAAAATGAGTTATTTATCTTCAAGCTTACAGTAAACTGCAATGAGAGTTCAGCTGTCTTGGTTATACTCTACAGGCAGCTCACCGTTAAACAACTGCACCTGTGGCTGCCTGTAAAGTGACGTAGTGAGTTTGAAACACAACAGAGGCATTTTTCTAGAATTATTACAAATCTATGGTTTGTCAACAAGATAATATGAGTCAAACTGATTGTAATACAGGATTGAAATTTATCTCATTGGGTATTACACAAATTCCCTTAAATTAAAAAATCAAGACTTATTCTCTATTCCCTAAAAAACAGGTTTACTTTGGTTGGTTGGTTAAAGCTGCTGTTATTCATTCTCTCTCTTAATTTAATGTCAGTGCTTCTAAGTGCAAGGAATATCTTATCATCATGGCTGAACCTTGAGTTTTGGAGTTGGATATCCTGCAGCTTTAGTCCAAATGCTACAAACTGAGAGACCATGGGGAAGTTATTTTATATTTCTAAATTGCATTTTATTAATCTGTAAAGTGGAAATAATAATGATAGTATCTCCCTCATAGGCAACATGTCAGGATTAATTGGTATGTCTTGTTGGTATTAATTTTAGTCTTTTAAACCAATATTTGATAGTAACAAAATTTCAGGGTTAGTGGAAATTTTAAACATTTTACTTCCAAGGGGTTATAGGTTGGTGGGAAGAGACTAGTTGCAAACCTACAATTGAATGATCCAGTAGTATAAAAATGTGTGAGCAGCAAGGTGCCCTCTGTGGGCCAGAAGCAGGTGCAGCCTCTCTCCTGGAAGCTGCACCCTCCCTAGGGAGCTCCAGGAGCACGATTTTTCACCACTTAGGGCTGCGTCTGGAAAGCGTAACTCTGGGGACACTGTAACCATTTTATGCCTTGTCCTTTCATCATCATCCTGGAAGAACTTATGCTGTTGATGTGTATGCTTCAGTTTAAGGCAACGTTTTGGTTTGGTTTTGTTTTTTGCTGTTTTTTTTTTTTTTTTTTTTTGAGATGGAGTTTCACTCTTGTTGCTCAGGCTGGAGTGCAATGGCGCGATCTCGGCTCACTGCATCTGGTCCCTAGGACCAAACAGAGCCTCAGCAAGTCAGCATCTTAACTTGTCGAGAGAAATCTGGTTCAATACCGCGATGTCTCTGCCCCTGGTTTCCACTGCGCTAGAAAGCTATTTTCCCCAGTGTTAACATGTCTAAACCTTCGTCCGGCCTGATCCCTTCCAAGATGAGGAACCTCAACATTCCATCCTAGGACAGCCCTGACTAGATGGTCTTTTGAATTGAAATTTGTTTTCCCGTGGCTTCCACACTTTGGTCCTGGTTCTATTATGGAGGTTCTGTTTAAGTTCTATTATTATAAATAATTTGTATCATTTCTTTTTTTTTTTTTTTTTTTTTTGAGATGGAGTCTCACTCTGTCTCCGAGGCTGGAGTGCAGTGGCGCGATCTCAGCTCACTGCAAGCTCCGCCTCCCGGGTTCACGCCATTCTCCTGCCTCAGCCTCCCGAGTAGCTGGGACTACAGGCGCCCGCCACCACGCCCAGCTAATTTTTTTTTTTTTCGTATTTTTAGTAGAGACGGGGTTTCACCGTGTTAGCCAGGATGGTCTCGATCTCCTGACCTTATGATACGCCCGCCTTGGCCTCCCAAAGTGCTGGGATTACAGGCGTGAGCCACCACGCCCCGCTGTATCATTTCTTTATATACACTCCTTCAAGTATTTGAAGATTTTCACACTCTTGTCATAACTAAGTATCTTTTTCTGCACATTTAGATTTATTAATCGCTTCACTTGTACAACAAACATTTACCTTGAGTCTACTGCATACTTGGTATTGATGACAAAACTAAGATGTGGTCAGTCCCTGACCTCAGGAAACTTCTCAAGTGGAACTGGACCTTTCTCAGTGTGACACACACCTCACATGAAATTATTTTAACAATCCACCATCATCCTGGCACTTTTCTTGTAAATGTCCCTCAGTGTGTGTGTCCTTCTTGAAATACAATGCCCTTGTACTGGAGGTGTGATGTGATAGTGTAGGGTAGGTTAGCGGCTCCTTCCTTCTGAGTGTAATGCACCCTTGATACACCTGTGATAATATTTACTCTGTGAATGGTTATAAGCTGTTGATTTGTATGGAAGCTGTTGTCAGTTAATACCAAATCTCCTTAGTTCTGCTAGTTGTATGTTGTTTTTCGAAACTCTAGCACAGTTACTTCTATTAAACTTCAGCTTAATAAGATCAGCACATTGTAGCAATCTGAATTTTGTATTCTTATTCTATCATCCAAATATTTGAAAAGCAATAAGCTACTTTAATTTATCCATTCATTGATATACATTGAAGAGAACAAGGCTCGAGAAACCCCTGTAGCAAAAGCAGAGCCCTCCCTTAATATTTCTTTCTTTATTAATTCTATATATGGTACTAGCAGTCTTTAATATTTATTTACTTAAGCAATTGTATAGTTCCTTTGCCAATAGATATTACAAAAGGATTCAACACATTATTTCTCCAGTGAGGCCTATTCTTCACAATCAGTTCTGATATACAAAAAATAAAATCTATTTCTTAGGGAAATAAATCTAAAGATAATTATGATTCTCCTGTATGCTAAGTATATATTTCTACTCATTATACTTATGTAGGATGCATGTGATATTGTTACAACTTTATTCTAATTGCATATTTTTGTCATTGAACCTATGTACATATCATGATTTTTAAAAAATGTTACCTTAGTCAAAATTTATCATAAAATCTCGAATGAATTAAGGATTCCTGCTATAGAGATGTAAATGGGAGCAATTTGAATATAGCCCCTTGTTCTTTTAGAAATAAAAATGCTAACATGAAATATTGCTAATCTAGATAGCAATATAATCTGTTTTGAAAATTTACTATTATTTTGCTGTTACTGGTTACATCTTCTTGTAAATTGAGAGAAAGCTTTTTGTGAGGGCATCAAATGCCTTAGGATACTTTTCACTTTGCAAACCCATCTTACTTTGTTGCTATGGTTACTATTATACCACAAGAAATCCTTCATTTGTGTATAAATGGTTTTATAGTTTAACGTTACTTGTTAATATTATACAATATGTGAGCCTGGTGAGGAATCGTAGCAGGACATGGTTGCTTCCATGTTGGAATAGTGACCTCTAACAGCGTAGCAGCACATTCGTTATAAACTTATTAGCGAGTAAGATTTCTAGAGCTATTTTTACAAATAAAATCCTGCTTAGGACAGAACCATAGCATGTGGTGAAGAGCCTAGATTTTGGAGGCAGTCCTCCTGAGGTCTGATCCTGCCTCTACCACTAACCAACTGTGTGACCTTGGATGATTTACATACCCTCTCTGGGTCTCAGTTTTGTCGTCACTAAATGGGGACAACAGTGCTTAGCACACAGGGTTGTTGTGAAGAAGGGTTGAGTTCATATTTGCAGAGCATTTATAACAGTACCTGACAGAGTACATGCTATGTAAATATGAGCTTTGTTGTTGTTGTAAGAGCGTTCTTTCTCTTACATTTCATCCATCTCAAATGATTTCAAAACATACATGAAATGGTAAGAATTTTCAAAGTATCACTATGGAAAATGCAATTTAAATTACTTTTGTTCCAAAACGTATCCATGTAATTAATGTATAATCGCCCTAATGTTGTTTTTTACTTAATGTCTGTGTTATGCGTTTAAGAACGCTTAGTTGTGATATGTCACAGCTGCCTACCATTTATTCTGTCTTAGGGTATTGCCAGAATCACTGGTACTAACCTAGTGAAATAGATTACACAAAGATAAATAAGATTTCTGTGGCAATAAAATCATTGTAGAGCATTAGTTTTATTTTGTTTAATGTATTTTATGTGTTTTAAATATAGTAGTCAATTTTCATAAAGAATAATGTAAATTTAAAAATAAGAATTTAAATATCCAAAGTTTGTGTTGAAGCTTGGCTAAAATGTTGATTTTGATCCTACAATAATGAGAGATTACCTAAAAAGGCAGTTTGAGGCCAATGCACAGTCAATTTGATATCAGTGTTAGTGATATTTGACTTTCAGGACAATGAAGAATCATAACTATAGGAGTAAATTTAGCATCGTAAGTAAAATAAACTCTTTTTACCTTTTAAAAGCCACAAACTCCTCTTCTGATTATAAACTATATGAAGTTGCTATTCTTTTCTGTTTAATTTCTAATTTATAAAAATATTTTTGAGTCAAATGTCCAGTTTAATTCCCACTTTCGTGGGTTACTTCTTCAGGTCTGCAGTGAATCAGTCTAAGGCGAGGTCAGGAAGAGATGGAATATCAGAAACCTTTGTGGTCTGGGTACCAAAAGACTTGAGCTCAAGTTAGTCCTGCCCCTTTCCTAAATGCATGACCCTGAGAAGGTCAGTTAAGCTCCCTGGGCCTGCACTTTATCTTCTGTACATGAAAGGGGTTTGATGAGGTTGCCTTTATGTTTCTTTCTAGCTTCTTTTTCTCTTCTATCTGGAAGTTGGTCCTCTTTGTGAAGAAGCTGAGATGGTGGTGCAGAACCAGTGCTTGCTGCCAGCACACTGTCTCTTCTCAGGAAGAGAGCCTCACTGGCAGAGAGGCGAGGCCTTTGCTCATCCACTCCCAGGAAACGTGGAGACTTTCTCCCCTGTGCTACTGACCCATGCCCCAGTAGATACCCTCCTGTCCCATGCCCCAGTAGATACCCTCCTGTCCCTTCAGTCCTAAAGGGCTGTGTACTCTCTTCTGACCACCCACACATGTTTTGCATGATTTTTCTACTGAGACTTCCACTCCATAACCAGCATGCCTCCCTATGTTCTTAACTTCCTCTCTTATTCTTAGCTGGATCCTGGCTCACATCTGAGGTTTCCCATTTCCTGGAAGTGTCCCTTCAAGTCATGAATGTTTACATTCTCATCCAACTAACCCAGGGCCAAGAATTGGGATTGGTGACATTTTTACTCTGAATTTCTGCTTCTTGACTATTTGTCCTTTAACCTTTTGCAAAACATGATCATTTGAGGTTTATGTCATTCAAGTTTTAGTCTCCTGTGTCATCACCACATTCTTTCTTGCTCACAGAAGAGTTGACACCTTGTTTGTAATCTCTGTCTATACTCGAACCTCTCCCATTATCCTGGGAGATTTAGCATCCGACACCTTGACCTCCCATCTTCTCACTGCTTCCTTTCCTGTCCTTGAGCCACAGGGTCCTACATTAACGTCCTGACTTTGTCGGTATATTCACCTGTTCCAGTGAACATACTCCAGCTTACGCTTTCAACCCCTGTCACTGGGACTGTTTTGGGACTACATTAGGACCTCCAGTCTATTGACTCCTGTATTTTCTCCCGATACGTCAGTCTTCCCTTTTTCTTTTCTCCACCTGACTCCCTGGTCCATAACTTCAATAACACCATTGTTTATGCTCTGTGTTAGAGTAGGCCTAGAATCTACCTTTGCTTTTCAATCTTTGCATTGCTGTCTTCTGTAAAAACACAAAACTTGGAAGAACCCAACTATTTGGCCTTTCAACCTGTGCAGCCACAAGATGTTGGAGAAAGACGCCCAAGAGGACAAATTGGCTCTATGTTAATGTTTGAACACCAGCTTCAAATGAGCTCTCAGCACTGCTTGTCCCATCTCTTGCTAGGCATCTCTGATCAGCTTTTCTTCCCAGTCTTCACAACAACAGTTTCATACCTCTTCCCTTCTCTTTTCCAGACTCCTGCTCAGTCTTGGCAGATGAACTCTTCTCCTACTTTACATGGGAAATGAAAAGTAACATATGGAAACTCCCTCATCTTCCTGATACCAAGCAAATAAACCTACCTAAACCCATCCAAGCTTCCTTGCATCCTAAGGCAAATCTCCCACTGGTGCTTTGCTTTGTATCCCATCACTTCTAGTTTATTAAGAAAGTTAACTCTATTGATTATCCTCCCTTTTCTTTTATATTCAGCCTCATCTTATCAGTGGGATGTTTTCCATGTGTTTTTAAACAGACCCAGGTTTCCCCCATTAAAAAAAAAAACTCATTTAATTTCTCTCTCTCTTTGGAAACAACCCTGACTCTCTTCCCACCTTGGCAGTAACACCTCTGGAATGGGTAAAGTTGTGCTTCTGGTCTCACTTGCTTTGTCTCCACCTAATATTAGTATGTTGTCTAACCTCTTATCTCCACAGTATTCACTTCTACCAAGTTTACCAGTGCCACCTGAGCAACATCCAGCACCAGCATCATCCTTCTTCAGGCTTTGGTGACACAAGCTCTTCTACTTTTCTGGCCATGTGTTTTCCTGTCTTTTTTGGAAGCTCACTAGATGGTCTCTCACCAATGTCATTTATGTCCATGGCATTCATAACTAGCAGTATCCAAATGATTCATGAATCAATCTCTAGTCTAGACCCAGAGATCTCTTTGTGTCTGTGACTTCTACATTTGGATGTCTCAAAAGGCACCTCAAACCCCACCCGTGTAAAATTAAAATCAGGATCTCTTCTCCCACCCACCCACTCCCAAGCTGGGTCTTCTTCCAGTGTTTTTGTTTCAATAAATAACCGGGCTGGGCACCATGGCTCACACCTATAATCTCAGCACTTTGGTAGGCCAGGGTAGGTGAATCACTTGAGGCCAGGAGTTTGAGACCAGCCTGGCCTATATGGTGAAAACCTGGCTCTACTAAAAATACAAAAAATAGCCAGCCGTGATGACATATGCAATCCCAGCTACTTGGGAGGCTGAGGCAGGAGAATCACTTGAACCCAGGAGGCAGAGGTTGCAGTGAAGCAAGGTTGCACCACTGCACCCCAGCCTTGGTGACAGAGTGAGACTGTCTCAAAAAATAATAAATAACTATACTGCTCAACTGTTCACCTGGGAATCTGCCTTGCAACTTCTCTCTTCCTCATGTCAATATCAAATCTATCACCAAGTCCTGTCAGTTTTTCCTCCCATCTGTGACTCTCCATCTTCCCCATCACTATCCCTAGTCCAATCAATCATCTTTTCTTGACTGAACTACAGACAGTCCCTGGCTTTTACAATGGTTTGACTTAACAAGTTTATGACCTCTCAATGGTGTGAAAGCAATACACTTTCAGTTCAAACGTTACTTCAAGTACCCATACAGCCATCCTGTTTTTCACTTTCAATATCGTATTCAATAAATTACATAAGATATTCAATACTTTATTATAAGATAGGATTTGTGTGAGATAATTTTGACCAACTGTGGGCTATAATCTAAGCGCTCTAAGCATGTTTAAGGTAGGCTGTGCTAAGCTATAATATTTTGTAAGTTATGTGTATTAAATTCACTTTCAACTTAGGGTATTTTAAATTTGTTTATTGGGTTTATTGGGATGTAACCCTATCATAGGTTAAGGAGCATCTGTAATTCAGTGAGAGGCAAAAGATGATAGAGTGGTTAATCTACGAATTTGTTTGTTCACATCTATTTTGCTTCTTCTTCAAACATTCTGTTCATTGTAGGCACATTGATCTTTTTAAATGCAAATCTAATCTTGGATGAAAGGTTTTGCTGTATGGCCTTGGAATCTAAGATTAACAATAAACTTTGAATCTCTGCATTTGAATTCAGTGGCA
The DNA here is from genome assembly GCF_000001405.40 of Homo sapiens. Lineage (NCBI taxonomy): Eukaryota > Metazoa > Chordata > Mammalia > Primates > Hominidae > Homo > Homo sapiens. The sequence goes on along the minus strand of NC_000006.12, from coordinate 162,605,967 downwards.
TTTTGGTTACATAAAATTTTTGTCACTGAATATAGTCAAATTTTATGAGAAAATACATATTAGTCTAAATAGTTGGCTTAAATATGAATACTTAAAATAGAAGCCATTGGCAAATTTTTGTCTACTTTTATTTCTGGCTTAAGGAACTTAAAATTTGTACACTAGACATTGTAAAATGTTTGTACAAGGCCACGTGATATGAATATATCATTTTGACATATTTGTTTTCTTTTTAGCTGTTTATTTGCTGTTTGGGTATAATAAATCATTACCCTAGTACTTCACATATATGTCTATATAAGTATACAGGTAAACATTTCTTGCTAAAAGAGCTCTTACACTGTTTCTTTAACTTTTACCTGTGGTAATTGGTTTCTTAATGAATTATATCAACCTATTAAAAATCACTTACACAGTTGTCTTTAGTATTTTGAGTTCTTAGGGTGTTTTGAATTACTGAATAGACAGACTAGAATTTTAGTTTTAAATTAATTTATTTAAATTATACCAAGGAATTGATACCCTGGGTTTTCTGGGTTTATTTTACCTAGTTGATATTGATAAAATTTCACTGCTATTGGACTCTGTGGTTAAAATAACTCTTAGGCAAGTAACATTGTCGGTAATTTGAATAAATTTTCTCTTGGGTTTTGGGGTAAGGGAATTAATATGGGAATCAATGTGGGAGACCAAAAATATATTGAGAAGTAGGATGAAAGTAGTTAGTTAATCTTCTCTATTCTTACTGGAGCTTTCCATTTAGTCTATATTTTAGCCTTCATATTCAGGGTTAGAAAATTTAACTGAAAAAATCATCTATACCTGGTCTATTATATTAAGCTAGAAGTAAAGGATTCTCTATCACCTATAAAAGGATAATGAAAAGATCACTTTTGGCAAGTGATATATACTTTATGATTAGAAATACATGCAAGTAATTTTGGAGTATGAATCCTCATTTTGCATATATTCTAACAAAAAAATAGAAATCTATGTGGAAAATGACTTAATTTTAAGTAAAAGGCCAGGTTATTGCATTTATGTGAAATGAAGTGAAGTGCTGCCTGGGTGAACTGAGCATAACATGAGTGTGAAAGGACATATTTCCTAACCAGTTGCACTTTTGCTGGAGGCTGATAAATAGTGGGGTTTCAAATCAATTTCACCATTGATCTGAAAGATAATCCTTTTTGTGACAATCTTGTCCTGGGGTTTTACTGTCAGAGGTGAAAATGAATGGCAGGGTCTAAGTTAAAAAAAAAAAAAAAAAGGAGAGAGAAAGAAACAGGGCCTGTGGGGAAAAGGCTATTGTTTGTCTGTCACACACGAGCTGACACACCAGAGACTTCATATGTAGGGGATGAGTGTGGGGGAAAAACATGGACCCAGAAAAGATTTTATTTTGTTAATTTCTAGAAATATGCTCTAAAATTTATGAATCAATCAGGTTTCTTATTACATGTGGGAACATATATGGTAGATGATAATTTGGCTGGCTTTACGAAGAGTCTGCAGTGCTTTTCCAATCAATATTCTGTGCTTCATGCTGTCTTAGCCCTGGAAGGCAAACTGAGTGGGGGAAGCTACAGGGGAAAGCAAGGTATTTGACTTGGATGGTTTTCATTCAGCACAGGCTGCGAAACAAATAAGGATTACCACAGGTGCCTCAGAGAATACCCAAGGGGATCAGTGCTGAGACCCTTTAAAACGGTGCTCAGTGATTCTTTTTGAGGTGGAAATTAAGATAGATTTGCCATTTCTTGCCCTGATTTATGAAAGCAGGTACTTGCCATGTACAAGGAGTACATGAAGCTTTACTGTTAAGAGAGGAAAGGTTGCTGTGGTCAGACAGGTGCAATTGCTGCGGTGCAGTGTGGTCCTCAGGTCGAACTCACACACCTGTCTCTGCATTCAAGTCAGGCAACAGAGGGAGGTGTTGACTTGGTTAATAACTCTGCTGAAAAGTGTTCGTGAGCCTCTGCTTGGTATCCATCCTCGCAGTGTTAAGGATCTGAACTTCTTTTAAATGCCTCATGAAACTCCTCTGAAATATCTGTCCTCTAAAATCTGAGTCTGTTGGTGGGGTCTGGCAGATCTCCCTTAAATGGTTTTCTAACAGTTTAATCAGCTTCCGCAGGATCCCTTTCAGAAATGTGACAGCCCTTCCCATCTGTGGATGGCACGTGCGGGTGGTTTCCAGCGTGCTCTACTCTCTCAAGCAGCTCATGAATTTTATACATCTCAGTAAAAAGAAGATATGGGAAGTTGCTTTGGGGAATTTAAAACTTTTCTTTTGCAATTTCAATGTTTGATCATTGTTATTCGTTTCAGTAAATTTAGAAAACAGGATACTTTAGATGTTATTTTTCAGCATCGCTTAGAGCAGGGACCTGCATGTGTTTTGGTAAGGGATACGTGGTAAATATTTTCAGCTTTGGGGGCCGTAAGGTTCTTTGTCCCATCTACTCAGGTCAGATGCTCTCATGCAAAGGCAGTCAAAGACAACATGTAAATGAACGGGTGGGACTGGGTTCCAGCACAGCTCTACAGAAACCAATAGCAGGCTGCATCTGGTTTGTAGGCTGTAGTTTGCCAACCTCTGGCTTAGGGGAAAAGCTGAAGAGAAAGCGAGTATGTATTTCCTCAACTTTTTTGGTAGTTAAGGCCTGAGGACTATGGCTCCAGCTGATGTCATTTAGTAGCAAAATATGTAGGAATTCGCAGACTGTTGTTTTTTAGTTGTTACCTGCCACTTTTAGAGGTATCTCTGCAACCTTAATAATTCACAACTGAGAAATCTGTCACTCAACAGTAATATACTCAGATAGGGAACTCTTCCCTGAGTTATACACAATTCATTCATAAGAAACACCCCACGAACCAAAAGAAAAAATCCTTTGTTTTGTGTGAAAACTAAAAGTTGGCATAATAGCAATGCATCCTGGAGCTTCTGGGGTTTGGGAGTTGGACCAACCCTGTGCGGTCCTTGTGATGGGTAATGTCAGCCAAGAACCCCAGGCGGAGAGGATGTGACACACTTAGTATGGTTGCCGTCCTGCAGCCTCTTACTTTCTGCATCGCCAAGCCAAGAACACCAATTTAGCTGCGAACTTTGTTCCCCCATTGCTTTCTAAAAGGCCACTCTCTGCTTTTGAGACCCATTGGTGCTTTGAGGCTTATATTTTAATTTTGAAAAGAGCTTACCTGATTTTCTTATGATTAAATACATTTTAGTTTGTTTGCATGTGAAAATGTTGTAGAAGACAGGTAAAGGAATAGACATGGGTTTTCACTTTCTAGCCCACTTCTATGATAGCTCAGGACCAACAACTTCTCTAACCCAGATACCTACAATGGACTCTTAATGTGTCTTTGTGTCTTTTTGTTCCTGCTTTGTCCCACACCGCTCTGTGTCCCCACTGCAGTGAGAATGATGATTCCAAATCACACATTTGGGCTGCCCCAACTCCTCAGTGGCTCTTTGGAGCCTTCACAACAAACTCTTAATTCTCCAAAACCACATGCAAGACACAGTGTTCTGGCTTCACCCACCTCTGTGGCCTCCCCTCATTACCCTCACCTTCAATGCTGCTCTCCACTCCTACTGACTTGATGCCTCCCCTTGCTTCCCAGCTTTTAATTCATGACACTCTGTTTGCCTGAAACATTCTGCCTTGTCCATCCCACAACCCTTACCTGCCTTCTCTTCTCTCTTCTCTCCCTCTCAACGCCACCTCATCTGGCTAAAGCCTTTAGGACCCAGGGTGCTCCCAGAGGTTGTTTCTCCCTGGATTCTTTTCTGACTCTTTGGGACTACGCGGAGGTGCTCTCTCCTGCACGCTCCCTGGGCACCATGCGGGGATACCCGTCCTAGCATTTATGACATGGGGATGTATGTGACTGCCTGCTGTATTAGCTGTACCACACCCTCTGCTCTTCAACTACGGAGTGAATAGTTTGTGTGTTCCTGTACTCCCAATCCTTGGCACAAAATAGATGTTTGATAAATATTTGTTGAATAAATGAGTCTTCAGGTGAGAAAACACATGATAGATTGGAACACTGCCTTGTCAAAACTTGCAGTTTGTTAAAGATACGATAAATTCATAAATGACACTGATGGAATCACAATTCTTCCCTGAAAATCTGATAAATATGCAATATGTATAGTAAAATCTAGGGGTGTCTTATTAATATTTTCTGAGCATTCACCCTTTAAATATACTCCTCATATATAAAAATGTACTCCTCATATATAAAAATGTACTCCTCATATATAAAAATGTACTGCTCATATATGAAAAGTACAATTGTTTTTTATATAAGATCCTAGCTATACTTCAGAAAACATTTTAAATTCATTGTCTTATGAGAGAAAGTTGGGAAGAGGGTTCGAGGAAAGGGAAACATGGCCCCTCTCTAACCTAAAAGAAACGAAAACATATGTCCACGGAAGTACTTGTGCAAGACTGCCCATCAGCAGCAAGATAGAGGAACGAACTAATTATACACACAACAATGGATGAACCTCAGAAATCATCATGCGGAGTAAGAGAAGCCTTAAACAAATATTACATACTTTATACTTTTATACATATGAATTTCTAAAACAAAACCCATTTACCGTGGTTTGAATGTGTCCCCCAAAAGTTCATGTTTTGGAAACCAAATCCCCAAATTCATATATTGACTGTAGGTGGGACCTTTGGGAGGGTAATTAGGATTAGATAAGGTCATCGGGGTGGGGCCACTATGATGGGACTGGCGGCTTTAGAAGAAGAGAGGCCCAAGCTGACGCGCATGCTTTTGCCCTCTTGACATGTGTGCCCTTCACCATCTTATGATGCAGCAAAAAGGCCCTCACCAGGTGCCGTTGCCTTGTTCTTGGACTTCTCAGCTTCTAGAACTGGGATCCCAATAAACTTCTGTAATTTATAATTTACCCAGTCTGCGGTATTGTGTTATGGCAACAGAAAATGTACTAAGATACTAGCTATGTTATCCATTCTTACGCTACTATAAAGAAATGTCTGATACTGGGTAATTTATAAAGAAAAGAAGTTTAATTGGCTTATGGTTCTGCAAGTTGTACAGGAAGCATAGAGGCTTCTCTTTCTTGGGAGGCCTCAGGAAACTTACAATTATGGTGGAAGGCGAAGGGGAAGCAGGTGCATCTTAAATGGCCATAGCAGGAGGAAGAGTGAGAAGGGGGAGGGGCTACACACTTTTAAACAATGAGATCTCACGATAACTCACTCACTGTCATGAGAACAACACTGAGAGGATGGTGCTAAACCATTAGAAACTGCCCCCATGATCTATGCACCTCCCATCTGGCCCCACTTCCAAAATTGGGGATTACATTTCAACATGAGATTTGGGTGATCCAAATCACACGGATCCAAACCACATCACCATCTGTGATTAAAATAAATCAGAACAGCGTTTTGGGGTATGGGATCTGACTTAGTACTCTTACGTATACACTTAAGAGATGTAAGTGTGTATGTCCACAAAAAGACTTGTACAAAAATGTTCACATCTTCTTTATTCATAATAGCCCCAAATTGGAAACATCTCATATGTCCATTAACAAAAGAAAGAATAAACAATTTGTGGCACAATCAAATCATGGGTTATTAGTCTGTAATTAAAAAATAAACTACTGATATGTACAATAATATGGTTGAACTCAAAACCCTATGCTGGTTGAAAGGAACTGAACACGAGTATACCACGTGATGGCATGAAGTTAAGGAATAGGCCACACCACGTTTTGGTGATAGAAGTCAGGAAAGGGGTTACTGCTGAGAGTTAGGGAACGCTGTTACTGGAAAGAGGCACAAGGAAGCTATTGGGGTGATGAAAGCATTCATCTTGATCTGTGTTGGGATGAGATGGGTATATAAATGTATAAAAGATTATTAGGCTGAACACTTAGGAATTGTACATTTTGCTGTACATAAATGAAACATCAATTAAAAATAGATTTTAAAAATTGGTTGTTACCTGGCCTGGTATTTGGATACATGGTTTCTTCAAGGATGAATTTATTAACTGAATTAATAATTTTAGGACTCTTAGGATTTCCACCTTTAGAAACTAGTGAAGTATATGCTTTGTAAATATTCTAGAAGACTTTTCATCATTTCTGTTTTGTTGTTACTATTGTTGTTGATGGTTGAAATTAGGCATCAAGCATAAAACAGTGAGCGTGAATTCTGCTTCATATTTACGCTGACAGAGTTCTGCCCATATTCTGATTGACATCTTCGGGAAGAATGGCCACGTGTGCTGTCGTGTACCCTGACGTTTTCACTTGTGAGCCCATCTTCACCTGGGCTCTGTCACTGAATAACCCACGCAGCCTGCCTTGACAGGATCTTTCTCCAGCATGCTTTCGAGTTTGCCTCTGCCGGGCGTATTATTTGGTTGAGACTGCTTTTTGTTGTTGTTGTTGTTGTTGTTATTTTTTCTGTTTAAGGATGTCTGGACCTGAAAGTATGTCAATTTGAACCCCATTCTGTTATCTGGAAAGACATTTTTCTTGCCCAGATTCTGGACAAAAGACACGCAAATTCAACCTGTCCTGCTTGTGAGGTCGGGTGGACTTTCCTGGTCCACCATCAAGGCCACAGCCTTTTGAGGGCACAGCTTTCAAGCCTACTGGTTGCCGGGACTAGCCAATTTAGGGGAAGTGTCATTATCTTCTGGGTTAGCTCTTATTTTGTGTCCACTCATTGTTTCTTAACTGCCTGGGGATTTCTTTTTATAAATGACTTCAACATTTGAAAATGCTTCTTATCACCGAGCCAGCTTTTCTGGTGTTTTGTAGCAGGAAGGATTACAGTTTAATTGATCATATGTCCAGAAATGGAAACTGGAAAAGATTTTTACATTTTTAGGATGTATACTGGGACCTCATAAAATAATATGTGAAACTTGCAAAGCTCTTTCAGTATAGGAGTAGAAAGGGAAGGAGTGATACCTACATTCTTGAACGTACTGTAATTTGTCTGGAGGGAAGGGCACATGATTAGTCCTTTGGCCTGCATTTAATCATTTAATATTTAATCATTTAATTATTCTGCAATTGCTTTTTTTTTTTTTTTTTGGTGACAGAATCTCACTCTTTCACCCAGGTTGGAGTGCAGTGGCGTGATGTCAGCTCACTGCAACTTCCGTCTCCACGGGTCAAGCAATTCTCATGCCTCAGCCTCCCGAGTAACTGGGATTACAGGCATGCACTACCACACCCAGCTAATTTTTGTATTTTTAGTAGAGACAGGGCTTCACCATGTTGGCCAGGCTGGTCTCAAACTCCTGGCCTCAGGTTATCCGCCCGCCTCGACCTCCCAAAGTTCTGGGTTTACAGGCTTGAGCCACCGTGCCCAGCCTTGCAACAACTTCTTTCTATTTCATGAACTTCTTAGGCTTCATATTTTCTGTTATTTATAGAACTAATTATTATTTACTTGCTATTATTATCTTTTTCATCTTCCAAAAGCTCCTCTAAAATGTAAGCTCCATGAGGAGCAATTTTTCTGTGTTTTTCACTTCTGTATTCACAGTTGTGAGTGCCTGGCATGTACTAGACCCTCAGATCAAATATTGTTGAATGGCTGGTTGAAATAGTATATAAATGAATAAAAATCTGGAAACTCAAGATTTTTTCTTTCAGTAGATTAAGAAATAAAAACGATTGCATAGGAGCCTATTTTTTCCTGAAGGGGCCCATATATTTGTTACTTCAAATAGTAGACTTCCATGATATGATTAAAACAATTTCTCAGAAATTTATAAGAAAGTTAAAATTTAAAATGAAAATGCTGATGCACAAATATTACACTTCCTTTGGCAACACAGATGGTGATTTTGATCTCAGTGGATGTTGGTTAATTCACAGTGAAATGAATTCATTTCCATCGTGATTCTATTTTAACTCAGATAAAGGCTCGTTAATTTTAATTCAGATAAAAACTTGTTTTTTGTAAAATACCATTGAAAATGCTCAATATATTATAATTCTAGATGAAAATTATGTCTGGATGAAAAGAGACAGTTGTAAAATAATACTAGTCATTATCTAGGAATGAATTCTATTGCAGGTTATTTTTACCTATAATCACAGGAATAATGACAGTTCCTTTGTAACCTGAAAGGACTTAGTGGAAGTCACCCTGTGGGGGACCAGGCCCTGGTTTGTTATTATGGAGTTTAACATTGCCACATATTACTGAATAGTGATCAAGATTGTGCAGAGTAAAATTGTATATGATAAAAGTTCAATCTATGTCTGTTGGGAGTAAGAATCAAGATTGGAGGGTGCATTTCAAAACAGATAAATAGCGTGTCAGAAACATTAGGCATGAAACAATTAGACAAAACTGTATTTACTGTATTACAAGCAAAATTCATACAATATAGACACATAATAAGAAAGGTCTTCAAATATATAATCACAGCAGAGTCAAATCTGTGAATCAAAACTATTCTTTATGTGCATAATTAACCATTTCAAAGAAGAGTTGGGAAAAATATTTAAGGATATGAAACAGTTATGCCATTTTCAATGTTCATTTTTAATTCCACCTCGTAAAATACATCTAAAATAGTAGAAAAGTTTAAAGTCTGTTAAATTATCCTGGAGAATAGGAAAATAGACGACTTGCCAGGTTTGGCCTAGGAGAAAATGCCTAGTAGCCCTGTTTATTTTTTTCCACATATTCTAAAAAAATAAGGAAGCATTGCCTAACTTTCGTACATTTCATATAAATATAAGGTAACATTGTATCTTTTGTCCATTTCCATAGAGGTTAAGAGAAAAAATCAAGTTTAAATTAACACAAATACTGTAGTAGCATAAAAGAAAGCATGCTTTAATGGTTCGTTTATTTTTAGTTACTAGAACTAGTTCACTAACATTTCCTAAAGTTAGATTTTTGATAACTATTTAGACTTGGGAGGAGCCCTGCATTTCTTGAAGGTCACGTGTGTCTGAAACCCGGAACTAGTATAGTGTCTTTCTGCACCAATATTCTGTGACCCTCTTGTATGTAGGAGGTGGCGGGGATCGGATTCCCCATGCATGAAGCTTCCTTTCCTTGGGAAGTCAGTCCCTTTCTCTGGGCCCCTGGTAGAAATAATTCACCCTTTAGCGCCAGGAGAATCTAAGCTTTCTCTGCTGTCCTAATTTTAAAACCATGCCTCTCAATATGACTGTAGTTAAGATTAAATGCCTATTGGGTTCTATGAAAAGGGTAGATTTGGGTAGCTATTCTAGGATAGTCAGATACCTGATTTCCACCATTAATATAAAATGTGTGCATTTTCTTTTATGGTAGAAAATTCACACTACAGGAACATTGATCATATGCTTTCTGCTTTAGTTTCTATAAAGAATGAGTCACAGAGAAGACAATTGCTTTATTTCAATGCCTAGGAAGTTATTGCCTTTCACCTTTTGAGCATCTGTGTTGCACACTTAATGGAAATACTTGAAATATAATATTGATCTACTTATCAAATTATAGTAAATATGAAGTAAGAAACATCACATGGTAACAATTATTCCTTTCACTCAATGGACATGATTAGCGAGAAAATAATAAAGAAATATTTCGTATTTGCAGCCTACCTTTAAAGTATTGAAGCATAATTGTGAAACATTTACAAGTTGCTGAGTTGTCACTTGTGGAAATACAAAAAAGAAAAAGAAAAATTGATAAACCATTGTCTTATGATTTCAAAAATTTCACGGGAAGGGGGCAGATAATAAGTGGTTTTATGCCTATAAGTTATTTAGAATTCCACATATTTTTAAAAGGGGGTTTTAATATGTTGTTATTTGACCTGCTTTGAGATGTCTACAGTCTTGACTTCTTGATATCTTTGTATCTTGTTACAGTCTTATTATTACAAGCAGTGTTAGGCAATTAAATTTGGAATTTTTTTTTTTCACCAGATGTATCTGAGTTTCTACAGCAAACTTGTTAGAAATTGTGAAGGCATTTTGGATTAAGTTAAAAGTATACATTGTACAACTTGATTATGACATTAATATTCAATGAGCTTATTTTCTTTGCTATGAAGTATGAATCTATTTGTAAACTTTTTATTTATTCATTAACATTAGCATTAGTAACTCAAATGGAGCCTGTTAAAAGTAAGTAGACTTGATAATATAGGTGTTATTAGAACTCTAGTTCAGAGAGGAACACATGTTCAACCTTAACTCCTTTACTTTTTATCTTTGGAAAAGTGATTTTTATTTACTTTTGGATTAGCAGTGAAATTATTATTTCTATTTAAAAATAACACTAAAATTATTCAAATAGAGCAACACTAAAGATATTTAAAAAAAAACAATAACTGTAATTGTTAGAGCCAAACCTCAAGAAAAATCAGGAACAAGCCAGGCGCAGTGGCTCACGCCTGTAATCCCAGCACTTTGGGAGGCTGCGGCAGGTGGATCACCTGAGGTCAAGGGTTCAAGACCAGCTTGGCCAACATGGAGAAAACCCGTCTCTACTAAAAATACAAAAACTAGCCGGGTGTGGTGGCACATATCTGTAGTCCCAGCTACTTGGGAGGCTGAGGCAGGAGGATTGCTTGAACCCGGGAGGCGGAGGTTGCAGTGAGCCAAGATTGCACCACTGCACTCCAGGTTGGGTGATAGAAACTCAGTCTCAAAAAAAAATAAAGAAAAAAGAAAAAGAAAAAAAGAAAACTCAGGAACAATTTTTTGTTGCCATGAGGGATATCATAGTTATGTTTCAGGTGATTTTCTTTTTTGAGACAGAATCTCGCTCTGTTACCCAGGCTGGAGTGCAGTGGCACGATCTCAGCTCCCTGCAAGCTCTGCCTCTCAGGTTCACGCCATTCTCCTGCCTCAGCCTCCCAAGTAGCTGGGACTACAGGCACCCGCCACAGTGCCCAGCTAATTTTTTGTATTTTTAGTAGAGATGGGGTTTCACCGTGTTAGCCAGGATGGTCTTGATCTCCTGACCTCGTGATCTACTCACCTCAGCCTCCCAAAGTGCTGGGATTACAGGCGTGAGCCACCGCGCCCAGCTCAGGTGATTTTCTGAAAGATTATTCAGAGAGAAAATAAGCTCTAAGAAAGGAAGAGCTTAACTATAGCACAGGAAAAGCAAAGGAAGTATTTCTACATAATATCCAAAAAATATCATGTTCAGTCACATCAGGAAGTATTTCAGGCTTTGACCACTGTACTTTTTAGAATTAACATCATAGGAACAATTTGAGCATGTGAACATTCTGTAACTAACAGTGAACTTGGATGACATATTCATTTCATTCATACTAAATTCCTCTAAGTGGTCTAGCTAATAAACTAGCCTATGTAATTCAGTTACCATGCAAGTCATACATATTTTTTTGTTGCAGAAATGTATATGGAGTGAACAATGAAAGATTTTGAAGAATCAAAATATATTACAATAAAATCCAATAGAAGTAGACTTCAAACAGAAAAGAGGAAGGGGAAGGCTGTAAAATGTCCAGACTTTTAAAAGGAACTTGTTCATGTATTTTTAAAATTAATAATAGTGGATATCATATCATGAATTGAGATCCATTGGATATATTTAGGAGATTCTAAAATGTTTATTTAGAATTTGCAGTCTTTACATCTAAACTACATTTTTGTAATTATTTATATGTAAGATAAAATACTGTTAATTGTACTTAAAGTATGCAAAGGGCATGTGATTTTCTCAGAATTGTTTCATGAAGAATTTGAGCAAAAAGGTTTAAGACTACTCTTCCAAAGGGGTAGTTTTTTTTTTGTTTGTTTTTGAGAGAGTCTTGCCCTGTTGCCCAGGCTGGAGTGCAGTGGTACAATCTCTGCTGACCGCAACTTCCACCTCCTAGGTTCAAGTGATTCTCCTGCCTCAGCCTCCTTAGTAGCTGGGATTACAGGCGCACGCCACCACGCTAGGCTAATTTTTCGTATTTTTAGTAGAGGCGGGCTTTTGCCATGTTGGCCAGGCTGGGCTCGAACTCCTGACCTCAAGTGATCCACTGCCTTGGCCTCCCAAAGTGTTAGGCCAGGCGTGAGCCACCGTGCCTGGCCCAAAGGAGTGTTTTAATGGTTAGATTATTCTAGAATAAATTATCTAGAAACACACTTAACAAAAGCGACATTAGCCTTTTTTAATATCTACCAAAATTTTCCTTTCTCTGCTAAAAGCTGTTCCTGTCCCTGCCCTATCCTGACTCTCCTTTGGGTGTGACTGCCCTTGAGTTTGAGCCAGTTGCCCTTCCTCTGGGCCCGCTGGCTCCTGGTACACACCCTTTCATAGCCTCATTATCTTCATACATCTAGCCCCCAGCAAGCAACTTGAAGGCAAGAGATCTGGTCCAGAAACAAAATAGGCCCTTTGTTTGCTGAACCCAGTGGAACCGTATTGTGAGATTTCAGTGATAAACCGTACTGTGTAAAGTCCAGAGAGATGATGCCATAGTTTCACATGAGGAATATATAAATAAAGTTTATAAGTTTGATGGAATGGCTTTCATTATTGATATTGATAGATTGTTTTCCAGATATGTAGCATTCCACCAAGGGCTTCTCAGGTTCTTTTCAAAAGCACAAAATAGACGTGCCATCCAGTTGCATATGATCAGTTTATTTCACCTGTCATTGATTAGTGAACCTAAATTTTTCTGTTTCTTTCATATGCAACCAGTTGTTCTAGAAAGATGCCCAATTGCCCTCGATAGCTTTGCTGATTGTACTTGCCTCTGGGTCTTTCTGACTTTACTTCTATATTCCTGGGCTGTGCTCTTATACTTCCTAATTAACCCCTAATTCTGTTTCGTATATAATTGCTTTCCACATTCAGACAGTAGAAGAGTTAATGCTTTAGCTGACATCGTATCCAGCAGCACTTGTCTCTCCTTGGTCTGGTTGTCATCATTTCGCGTAGTGTCCTTCTGTAAATGGTCCCTGCCTTGCATGTCTGTGATTGTTCAGAGGATTTAAAGGTTATGTCCTGTGGGCTTTGTAATCGTGATGTGTTAGCTGACTTTGGAAGTATCTTTGACATACATTCTGAGATCGCATTACATTTCATCCTTTTACAGCTTGTACACCACACATTATTTTTTTCTTATAATAAAGTATATTTTTAAAATTAATGTTGATCCTTTTCTATGTCCCACTCTTTTGATCCTTCTGAATCTTTTAAAATTTTTGTTGACATCTACATAAAGCTGTTGTGTCAAGGTTGAAGAGAACTAGGGTACCTACTTGGTTTTATTTCTCCATCAAATAACCATATATCCAGTCTGTGGTTATCTAATGTACAGGGCAAAAAGTGAACACACCTCTTTTGGTTGTGTCTGTTTTACTCTTTGCAGATTCTGAAGCAGTGGTGTTTGGAAGCAGGCAGGTGATAAGTCAGTAGGTACATGATGAGCAGTTCCAATACTGATCGGCACAATGCTGGACTGTACAAATCCCCACAGAACCCAAATGGGGACAAGTAACCAGATATTCATCATAAAGCTGAATCTGAAGAGGTTGCCAGAAAATGCATCCCTGAAACAAGTATTCATAAATTGTGTTTAATGAGTTCAAAGATAAATACATCTAATTGGATTATAAATAGCCTACCTATTCCACAGAGCTGTTACAAGAATGAGGTCCTGGGCCAGCTGCAGTGGCTCACACCTGTAATCTTTGGGAGGCCAAGGCGGGCAAATCACTTGAGGTCAGGAGTTCGAGACCAGCTGGCTAACATGGTGAAACCTCGTCTCTACTGCAAATACAAAATTACCCGGGCGTGGTGATGAGTGTCTGTAATCCCAGCTATTCGGGAGGCCAAGGCAGGAGAATCTCTTGAACCCGGGAGGTGGAGGTTGCAGTGAGCCAGGATGGTGCCATTGCACTCTAGCCTGAGAGACAGGGTGAGACAACATCTCAAAACAAACAAACAAACAAAAAAATGAGGTTCTGGTTTTGAAGACTCTTTGTAAACTGTGAAGCTGTATACTAACTGCTATTATTGGAATCTCTTCTTTTTCCTAACATGCCTTTTTTTTTTTTTCTAGCAGTTCAGTACATAGGAATTTGAATGTGGGTCAGAATATCACTAATTTTGATTATTATTACAAAGGATTATTATTATTACAAAGGATTATTATTACTTACTTATTTCACACTTGCTGTATAATTGTCAAAATTGTTATCCTTCATTGTAGAAACATTTTAAATTACTGCTGAGTTAGCTTAACTGAAGTTTAACCTAAATTCTTAATGTATTCAATACCTCAAGGTGAACCCCCTCCCACCCATTGTATTGATTGTGGAAAAAAAAGCTTATATATTAGGTGATATTTGGTATTAAAATTTTCAGAGTACACAGAAGAGATGAACATGAGTCCATTTAAATGTTCCTTTTAGTCATTTTTTTCTTCACAAGAATAATCTTACAATTGCATCGTTTAAGAATACTTGATGTGATAGATGTCCTAAATACCCTGACTTCATCATTACACATTCAATGCACGTAACAACATATCACATGGGCACCATAAATATGTACAACTATTATGTATCCGTGAAAAATTTTTTAAATTTAATTTAAAAAAATTAAGAAGAGGATACTCAGCACTTAGCAAAGCAGAACACGACATGTGGCCAGTTTAGATGATACTAACAAAAATGTACCTATAAAGAAAAACAAAGTTCTGATGTGACACTTACAAAAAAAAAAGAAAGTATCATTCTGCCTGTGTATTCCTAGCTGTGTTTGCCTACCTCTGTCCCTTGCCTCTATCCTTAAATTTGGAGCCATTTGTAATGGTTTCCTAACAACCATCTGGGGCTTGTAGCCTAATCTCAGCCTGATGCATCTTGAGCACAGCCTGATGGGAAGGAGTGCGCCATTCAGGAATCTGGCTCCTGTTCCTTCAGAGGAGGGCCCCCCATGAGACAGTGACCACCTGTGTCTATGATATCATCAGACCTGGTGACTTTGAACTAGAGTAGCTCCCAAGCTGAGAGGCTAGTTGATACGAGGCCTGGAGAGGATAGTCTGTGGGGCCAGCCATTCCCACGTTGCCAGAATGATCATCATGAGGCTGTTGTGTGCCCAGAGTATGTGCTCCTAAGTGACACGTTGCGTCTGTGCCGGGTCATGGCGGTGTTTTGTTTTTGTTTTGTTTTTTCACCAATTCACTCATAATAAAAAAGTATTCCAGAGTACTGATGAAAGCTTGATGAGTCTGTAGGTTATGTCAGTGTTTCTTACGGGTTTCATTGTGGCTTTCATTGTTTTCATTAGTCTTCATTAAGACTAGAGCCAGCTGTCTATGTGTGATGTGGGCTTTAGTGAAACTGATTTAGGTTGCAATCCCATTCAAGACTGGTGGACAGAAGATTCAGATGGAAAGTGGCAAGAAAGCCGCAAGATCAATGGATGCTTTGAAATATGTTGTACTAGCCACTTGTTTTCTGCTTTATTGGTTCACTATCTTAATAAAAAAAAGAAAGATGGCTAACTTTGCAGATAGATTAAGGTTGATACAAAGTTGGAATTAAGGTCATTACTTTTGCTTTTCGTTTAGTATGTTTATCAGCAGGTATTTAAAATTTTTCTCTCAGATACTTTCTTTTCATTTGGAAAAATAATCTGAATGGAAATTTTATGGTCTCAGAAGGTTAGTATTATTCCTAAAATATATTACTATTAGACATGAACAATGAAAAGTCCTTTTTTGTCCATATATATGAAAAATTCCATAATGAGCATTTATTACTTTGCTATTAAAAACATATAAATTTTATTTTAAAGGAAAGGAGAAGAAAGATAAAGACATCTGGCACTTTTGGAGATAAGCTCACATGTGTTTACATGCACACACACACATCTTACGTGAAAATTATATCAAGTCAGAAAGTGACTAATACATTTACTTGGTGTCTCATTCACAAATTATTTAATTTCCAACGAGTTAGCCCTTTTATTGAAATCCCTTAAGTGAGTTCAGTTTTTAAAGTGCTTACTTAATGCCTACTGTGTGCACAATACTGTGCCAGATGCTGTTGGAGATACAAATGTCAAGTACAGTATTACCATGACAGAAACAAAAACATAAAGCAATATGTGAATATATGTTTATAATGGCCAGGGAGGTTTTAAAGTGAGAAAACAAACAGAGTTGCAAGACCAGATTTCTAGTAATGGTCGAAAGTATTGAGAATACAAATGCAAATATCAACAATAAGCCTAAGTGTATCTCTACTTTTAATATAAATGTTGCTGTTATGAGTATCTGGGAAGGCTTAGAGCCACATTCATTATTATTCGGTTACACCATGAAAAGATGTGTTTTGAATGCGTTGCAAATAATCTGAAACACAGAAAAAACACATATTAAATTTTAAAAGTTAAATTTAAAGTTAAATGTTTAAAAAGGGAAGACAAAAAAAAAGTGTACTTATGAGTACAGCTGTTTAAACATACAGTCACTATCCTTTCTTTTCCCAGAAGTGTGAATGAGGAAGAAAAATACTGGGAAGAAAGAAAGCAAAATACGAATATATCTGTTTATGGATGGTAGGAGCTATCAGTGTTATTTTTTTTAAATTTCTTGTAACATTTTTGTATTTTTGAGAGAGAGAGAGAGATTGAAGATATTTACAATGAAACAAAGGAGAAAAAGGCAAAAAAGTCTAGTGGTGGTATTTTTAAAATCTGCGTAGGTATGACCCCATGTGAACTATCTCAAGGGTATGTGTTTGTGTTGCTTTATGGCATAAGGGACTATGTAAAGAACACTAAAATTTGTAATAAGATAAAACATCACAGTCATACAGTTTGTCAGAAATCCCAGAATTTCAGCTGGAGCATAACAGTACAAGATTGATGAGCCATGGTGCCCAAAGGTGGGGTGCTTTGCAGGGGGAGGAGAGCTGGTGGGAGTGGAAGAGAGTGAGAGGATGGTGACCTCAGCTTTCATCCGGTCCACACTCATAGTGACGGTAATGACAGCTGCAACTTACTGCGCACCCACCGTGTGCCAGGTGCCACCCAGAAGCTTTCTTTATGGCACTGTACGTTAATGGTGATGAAAAATGAGCTCTGGGCCGGGCGCGGTGGCTCACGCCTGTAATCCCAGCACTTTGGGAGGCTGAGGCAGGTGGATCACGAGGTCAGGAGATCGAGACCATCCTGGCTAACACGGTGAAACCCAGTCTCTACTAAAAATACAAAAAATTACCCGGGCGTGGTGGCGGGCGCCTGTAGTCCCAGCTACTCGGGAGGCTGAGGCAAGAGAATGGTGTGAACCTGGGAGGTGGAGGTTGCAGTGAGCCGAGATGGCGCCACTGCACTCCAGCCTGGGCGACTGAGCCAGACTCCGTCTCCAAAAAAAAGAAAAATGAGCTCTGCTCTAATAAAGCAAAGCAGGACCGCACAAAGCACAGGGACACTGCCTGGACATAGTGCCCACCTGGCTGGACAGTGTTATGAAGTTCCCATTTCCTGGGAAACTCAGTTGTTTTTTAGAAATCCTAGTTTAATATTGTTTGCTTTTTTTTTTTGTTAATGTGAGGAATATTACATTCTGATCATCCTATTTCTTACTGAAATTTGGCCTTTCTCACAGCAAAACTCACTTTGTTCCGGTGGGCGCCGCGGTGCACACCTCTAATCCCAGCACTCTGGGAGGCTGAGGCAGGCAGATCACTTGAGGTCAGGAGTTCAAGACCAGCCTGGCCAACATGGTGAAACCCTGTCTTTACTAAAAATACAAAAATTAGTTAGGGATGGCGGCATGCACCTATAATCCCAGATACTTGGGAGGCTGAGGTAGGAGAATTGCTTGAACCCAGGAAGCGGAGGTTGCAGTGAGCCAAGATAGTGCCACTGCACTCTAGCTTGGGTGACAGATTGAGACTCCATCTAAAAAAAAAAAAAAAACTCAAAAACTCACTTAGTTCAAGTATGGTTATGTTGATATGTAACTTTTTTCCCAAAGAAAATATGAAAATTTCTAGTTATTTGTATTATTGAGAGCCAAGTTATGAAAGATGTATAATCTCCTTGCAACATAGATACATTTTTCTCTCCCTTTATTCTGCATGATAATTCAAATGAGTAAAGCTTTCATTTTGCTAGTCAAGATTACTTTCTTTCTGTGCTTCTTTATGAGGAAAGTCATTTTGTAATCATCAAGGAGGTTTATTTTGATATTCTTAAAGGTAAATCACTGCAACCTAACTGATAGTCTATTATGCTTATATTTAATCACATATTATGCATGTATAATCATCAGATTAACCTATTCTTTGCATAACAACACAGTAATGTTTATTTTCATTATGACTATTATATTATCATAAATATATTTATTGCCATTGTTCTGTAAGGGGGAAGGACTACCATTTGTTCCCGAGACTCTATGTTTTATTTTTGATAGTTGCTACCAGGTCAAGAAGTGAGACTAGTCTTTATGTCAGTGACAACTGTAACCCCAGGTTTTAATAAATGCTACTGTGGGCTGGGCGTGGTGGCTCACACCTGTAATCCCAGTGCTTTGGGAGGCCTAGGTGGGCAGATCACCTGGGGTTGGGAGTTCGAGACCAGCCTGGCCAACATAGTGAAACCCTGTCTCTACTAAAAACACAAAAATTAGCTGAATGTGGTGGTGCATGCCTGTAATCCCAGCTACTTGGGAGGCTGAGGCAGGAGAATTGCCTGAACCCAGGAGGCAGAGGTTGAATGAGCCGAGATTGCGCCACTGTACTCCAGCGTGGGTAACAGAGTGAGACTCCATCTCAAAAAAGCAAAAATAAGAATAAATGCTACTGTGTGCTTATGTTATGTTCTTATAAAAACATTTTAATTAAATGTTTGTTAAAATGTAGTTCTTTATTAAAATAGCGAGGTGAATAAGTCACAGCCTTCTTCCACTTGGATCTGGTGATTTTAACTATATAGCTTACCTTTCACATGACCATTGGACTAATAGAGCACTGATGCCTGCATTGTGTCTGCATTAGTAGGACCTGCCACAGTGCCTATCACGGGCATGTAAGGCACTCGGTCAGTGTTGATGGAACTGAACTCATTTCTTTAAATAATCAAGAACAAGTGTCTTAATTGCAAGCTTTAACAGTTCATATATCTTTTGGCCTAATTTATTCTGTCTCTCTCTCTCTTTTTCTGTGTCCTTCAAACACATGTTTACAGAACTTCTTTTTCTGTTTCAAGGGAAAAAGTCATCCATTTACTTGATTAGAAATACTGTTTGGCTCTTGATATTAGATTTAATATGCAGCAGCTGTCAAATTACGAACCGGCTTATAGCCCCTCGTGGTAGATTTCAAGTCCTGATTGCTATGACCTTAACTCATAGTCATATTGGAGAGGATGGCACAGGACCTCTTTCTCTTCTGAGATTCCCAGGACACTTACTCACCAACCAGAACATGGTAATGGGGTGATAATGTGTCTCAGTCAGTAGTGTTCATAGTGTACCTTTGCCCTCTCCATGAACATATAAAGACATATTTCTGACAATCATAGCAGAACATTTTAGTGGTTTCTCACAGATAGCATTAGCAGAGTACATTTTAGTTTCGAATTAATGCTAACTATTGAAACACAATAACTTCGGAGATGCCAATATCAGGATATTATCAAATCTAGATACTTATAATGCTTTATCACGTAGTTAGAAGGAGGTACGTTGCATTATTATGACATTCCCAAAGGTACCTCCTTTTAATTTTGTCTACTGAACTTATATACAACTTTCCCCTTATTACCCAGCACATAGGGTCAGGCTAAATGGGGGTGAATCCTGGCTCCTCTATTGGGTGCCTTGGTGACACTGAGGTAGTTACTTATCCTATGGAAACCCAGCTTTTGCTTTTGTAATATTGGAGATGTTATTAATCAGGTTGATGTGTTAAATAATGTAAATTGGCTGGGCGTGGTGGCTCATGCCTGTAATCCCATCACTTTGGGAGGCCGAGGCGGGTGGATCACTTGAGGTCAGGAGTTCAAGACCAGCCTGGCTAACATGGTGAAACCCTGTTTCTACTAAAAACACAAAAAAAATTAGCCGGGCATGGTGGCACGCGCCTGTAATCCCAGCTATTCAGGAGGCTGAGGCAGGAGATGGCTTCGACCCAGGAGGTGGAGGTTGCAGTGAGCCGAGATCACACCATTGCACTCCAGCTTGGGCGACAAGAGCAAAACTCCATATCAAATAAATAAATTAATAATAATAATAATAATGTAAGTCTATGAAATACTCAGTATATTTGCCCTGAAATGTGGAATCAAAAATAATTACCAACATTTACTGAGCATTTTTTATATCTTTTAATCATTCATATGTACGCATGTAAATAACTGCTAACAGGAAATAAGAGAAGAATAGAATTATGACAGGTTTGAAGAATGTTTGTAAACACTAATGCCCTGCATTACCCTTGAGATAATTGGAGTAAATATCTATGGAATAAATGAATGGAGCCAGAGAATTTTCCAGAATATAGGAATTGGGTGCAGTTAGAAGAACTAAATGCAGCCAATGGGTAACGGGACAAATGTGGTGTGTAAGGGAAGTTAGTTTGCTGTCGGAGGACATGGCCCCCATAACCACTCATTTTTAGATATGCTTAAATGTTTACTGTGATTTGATATTAATTTTATTTTAGAGTTAAAAGTACTTACGATAAAAATGAAAGTTAATTTCTAATATAGTCCAAGAAAGGTATTTATAGGCCAGGTGCAGTGGCTCATGCCTGTAACCCCAGCACTTTGGGAGGCTGAGGTGGGTGGATCATGAGATCAGGAGTTCAAGACCAGCCTGGCCAAGATGGTGAAACCCAGTCTCTACTAAAAATACAAAAATTAGCTTGGCACGGTGGCAGGCACCTGTAATCTCAGCTACTCGGGAGGCTGAGGCAGGAGAATCACTTGAACCCAGGAGGTGGAGGTTGCAGTGAGCCAAGCCATTGCACTCCAGCCTGGGCGACAGAGTGAGACTCCATCTCAAAAAGAAAAGAAAAGAGAAGAGGAGAGGGGAGGGGAGGGGAGGGGAGGGGAGGGGAGGGGAGGAGATGGGACAGGGGAGGGGAGGGGATGGGACAGGGGAGGGGAGGGGAGGGGAGGGGAGGGGAGGGGAGGGGAGAGGAGAGGAGAGGAAAAGAAAAGAGAAAGAAAAGAAAGAAACCCAGAAAGGTATTTGTTGAATTGGTCTTGAAAAGTTAATTTGAAGAACTTTGACAATATTTCTGAAAATCCATTTATAGGATATGCCCACAATTCATTGTATGGCTGGCTTTTTTCCCTTAATTTAGAGAGCTGGAAAATCATGATATACAAGCATAAATTAATGAATTTTTTGCTTGTGATTCACCTTCTGACTCCTGGATCTAGGAGCAAGGGGAATTATTCTGATTATTTTTTCCTGGCTGGACTTTGAAATACCCTGTCTCTAATCAGTAGCAGCTATGTTTAAATTCTTTTTAGGGGCAAGGCAGGAATTCTAATTTTTCTGAATGTACAGAGTGTTCCTCTCAGCAATTGACTTTGTTTATTGACTAATGACAGATTTTCCCTCATGTTGGTTAAGAATAACTTTAAAGGTATATCAGATAATGTTTTGTGTACAGTGTTCTATGTTCTCTGTCCAGGCATATGTAAATATAGTCAGTGTTTTTTTTTTTTTTGTTTTTTGTTTTTTGTTTTTTGTTTTTTTTTTTTGAGACGGAGTCTCACTCTGTCGCCCAGGCTGGAGTGCAGTGACGCAATCTCAGCTTACTGCAAGCTCCGCCTCCTGGGTTCACACCATTCTCCTGCCTCAGCCTCCCCAGTAGCTGGGACCACAGGCATCTGCCACCACGCCCGGCTAATTTTTTGTATTTTTAGTAGAGAGGGGGTTTCACCGTGTTAGCCAGGATGGTCTTGATCTCCTGACCTTGTGATCCGCTCGCCTCAGCCTCCCAAAGTGCTGGGATTACAGGCGTGAGCCACCGCGCCCAGCTATTTTCAGTCTTAGCCAGTAAACTGCATTTAAAACTCCAAGTACTTCAGTAAGACAGCAGAGATTTCCAAAGGTTTCAGAGGATAGTGGTGGGTTATATTTTTGTATGGCTTTTCTGAGGGTTGTTTTATTTTCATTTGAAAATTTTTTCTTTATAGGATCATTTGCTATTTGGTAATTTTTTTCATTTGAATGGTGGAAGTCCTTAAATATGCTCATGTAGAGTTTATGAGTCTCGCTACTTGCAGAGAGGGATAACTCTTTAGAATGGCTGCCCTCTGGGAGAGGAAAAGCATAAACAGAGAGATGCTGAGTGATAGAGCATTGCTAAATCAACACATCAATCTCAGGAATAATTGTTGGATTCATCAGTGAAGAATGATTCTACCACTTAAGGAAAGGCTTCAGGAGTATATATCCTGTTCTCCCAGCACCAGCCAGCCCTTTTGGATATGAGACTATTATATTCACAGGTGGAGTTTTGTTTGTTTATCGAAGGAAAAGTGACTCCAGGAATGAAAAAGCCATGATTCACAAAGAATTTCTCGCAGTGTTTCTGTCCTAGCTGGTCACTTCAGAAGCTAACTCTAAACCCTATACCTCTTTCTAGCCTTTGCCACATAGAATGGTCATTGTCTTAGTGCATTTATGCTGCTATAACAGAATATCACAGACTAGGTAATGTGCAAAGAACAGAAATGTATTGACCCACTCTTCTGGAGGCTGGGAAGTCTAAGGTCAAGGTGCCAGCAGGTTTTGTGTCTGGTAAGGTCGTTCTCTTCTTCCAAGGTGGCACCTTGTATGCCGTCCTGTCCTCCTGAGCGAGGGGATCAAAGAGGCTTCAAATGGCAGGGGCAAAGGGGCCAAGAGATAAAAAGGCACACAACTTACCCTTTTATAATGGTATTAATCCCATCCGCTTGGGGATTATCGCCCTATCTCCTCCTAAAAGTCCTACCTCCTATCACTGTCACAATGGCAGCCAAATTTCAAGATGAGTTTTGAAGGGGACAGACATGTAAGCCATAGCAATCACATTTTCATAAACACTGTCTTTCCATATAGCAAGGAAGCATAGCAAAGTAAGAACTTAAAGGCTTATTTTCCTTGCTGCTGAATTTAATATCATGTGTTATAATTCAGAGACATGTAAGGTACAGTTTAAAAACAGCCAATAAGTTTTTTAGAGACCCACTGAGTACCTAGCACTGTGGTAGGTCTTATGCGGGATTCAAAAGCTTAAAATAAAAACAAACCATTTAAGCATCAGACTTGGACTCTGTTCATTAAAATGCAAAGAGAGCTGAGTTTAAGAGCTTGGTAACTTGGGTTTTAAGAGGAATAAAGCACTGCAGATATTATCATGCAAATTTGAACTTGAATTTGGTCCTAGAAATAAATTTCTATTCGTAACTCCATCTTTTCTTTCAGAGACCCTTAGGCTATCTATATGACAGGATAACTCCGTGAACACAAAAATGCAGGCACCATAATCAGGATATTTTATCCTCAGTATCCTTAACTCCTGAAACTGAAATAACTGGATGATACAGAACATTTATTCAGCTTTCATATGTGCAAAGTCACATGGATAAACATTCTCATTCCAGTGTATTTTGTTTTCCATTTTAAAAATACTTAATGCTTGTTTTTATACATTTTAGGATCTATAAATCAGTGAGAACTGAAGGAGGACAGGATTTCCTCCTGCAAGGCATCCTTTGCATACATAATATTGGACTTCTCTGCTTCAGTGCTGTCTTCTCAGATGGATATGTAATGTGTGAAATGCTTAATAATGTCATCAAAGAGATTTATATGTTCATGTTTTGCAGATAAGAGACTTAACCACAGGGAATTTAAATGACTTGACTATAGTGGTTAGCACTCTGCATTTGGAAATAATTCAAATTTTTATCTAAGTCTGTTTAAATTTTTGGCTTTTATAGCCCTTTGTGAGAGAGGTCATGTGAGGGAAAACATGATTCCCCCTCTCCCTGTTGGGTTTTTGGGGTCTACCTTTGTGTCTTGGTTTTGACCAGCCTTCTCATAACTATATTCCAAAGATAAATTAGGGGAAAATGTGCAGATAGTTCAGTTAAGTAATTTACTTTACCTAACTCTATTAGTTGAGAAAAACTCTTAAAATCTAAGTTAAGTATATATATATTTTGAGACAGAGTTTCACTCTTGTTGCCCAGGCTGGAGTGCAGTGGCGTGATCTTGGCTCACTGCACCCTCTGCCTCCTGGGTTCAAGTGATTCTCCTGCCTCAGCCTCAAGTAGCTGGGATTACAGTCGCCTGTCACTACGCCTGGTTAATTTTTGTATTTTTAGTAGAGACGGGATTTTGCCATGTTGGCCAGGCTGGTCCCGAACTCCTGACCTCAGGTGATCCGCCCGCCTTTCCCTCCCAAAGTGCCGGGATTACAGGCGTGAGCCACCGCACCTGGCCTAAGTTAAATATTTGTCTTTGTATATGAAGATCTACAAATTCTTTATGTAAGTCATTCCATGGGAAAATTAGAAATTGGTTTCCTTTTCTTGTTAGACCATGACACTGGTGAGCTAGGAATTTAATATTCATTTCCACTTTTTCATTAATTGCCATATAACTACCTTGAATATTTTACTATTCATTCTAAGTTAAATAATCTTTCAAAATCTCTCCTGAAAAGTAAATTGCTTATGAATGAATCTAACTGTCTCTTTTGACCTTCACTTAACCTCCTATATCTCAGATGCTTGGTATTCTTTTGGGGAAAGGAAATCAAATTTGTCTTAGTATCAGTTCTCCTTTTAATACGTTTAATCTTTTTATTAGCCTTGTGACAGCATCTTAACTTAGTGGTGACACCCTCATTGAACCTGCTGTGGCACTTTTGACTCTTTCTCAGAAGAGTGGTTTCTAGCATTGACTCCATTCTGGTACCCGAGGAGCCTGGGATATTAATGTTTTCTCAATTCAGCAAGTATGCTAGACATTCCATTGTATTTTTAGTACATGCCACTGAATGATGTCTGTCTTACACTTTGGGGCGAGGGGAGGAATCTCTGAAGAAGTGGCAAAGGCGTTATATACTCAGCAAGCGCTCAGGATTCTACAGCAGAGGGAGCACTGATGGAGCCTCAGATTGATCAGCCTGCTGAGAACCTGTGCCCAGCTCCTTGCTGTTTGTGTGCTTCCACATATAAACAGTGTAGCTCAAGGTTTCTGTGGGAAAGGGGCCTTGCCTAATTGCCTCCCTTGATGTATTGTCCAACACAGTTCATGGACCTTCTCACATCCAGATGAATTTCATAAAATATTTTCTTGCCTGTTCCTGACACTTGCTGGGGGGCATCGTACAGATTTTTTTTTTTTTCTCTGTTTGCCATTGTTATCCTCCTAATACAGGTCCCTGTCACCCCATGCTAGATTGGTCACACCTAAATTGCTCCCAATTCTCAGTCCCTCCTTGAAGTTATTTTCTTTACTTTTTTTTTTTTTTTTCTGAGACAGGGTCTTGCTTTGTAGCCCAGGCTGGAGTGCAGTGGTGCAATCACTCCTCAAAGAAATCTCCACCTTCCTGGGCTCATGTGATCCTCCTACCTCAGCCTTCCAAGTAGCCGGGACTGCAGGCATGCACCACCACACCTGGCTAATCTTTGTATTTTTTGGTAGAGATAGGGTTCCGCAATGTTACCCAGGCTGGTCTCAAACTCCTGGGCTCAAGCCGTCTGCTTGCCTCAGCCTCCCAAAGTGCTGGGATTGCAGGCATGAGCCACTGTGTGCAGCCAATGTTACTTTCAAAGCACCATCTGATACCATGGTTCCTTGTCACCGAAAGTCCAGTGTCTTGTGTCATATGAACTCCAAACTCTTCAGCCCACTTCACATCTATGGGACTGGATCTTAAAAGGAGTTGTATTATACTGAGAAAATAATCTAAAATAATGATAACGTTCATGATAGGTCATGTTTAATCAATTCAGCAAACTCTTGTGGGGAATGTGTTGTGGGGTATCACCCATCTGGGGAGGTTCTGTGTATATGTCGGCATGCAAACAGGGCATTCCATAAGAAGCTGAGTCTGCTAGAGAAGAAAGACATGTCAACAGATAGTTACAATATAAGCCCAATAATTGTGTGTGTGAACGTGTGTATAAATCTGTGTTGAATTTTTATATGTTTGTAAATGTGTGTGAATGTGTGTGTTTCAATCTGTGTGATTTTGTGTGTGTGAAATTTGTGTGTTTATGTATGTGTGTGTGAATCTGTGTGTATCTGTGTGTGTGAATTTGTGTAAATCTGTGTGAATTTGTGTGTATGTGTGTATCTGTGTGTGTGAATCTGTGCACGTGTGAACTTGTGTATGTAAATCTGTGTGTGAATCTGGATATGTGTGTGAAAGTGTGTATGAGAATCTGTGTGAATCTGTGTGTGTGAACTTTGTGTGTAAATCTGTGTGAGTCTGGATATGTGTGTGAAAGTGGGTGTGTCAATTTCTGTGTGTGAATGTGTGTGTGTGTGTGTGCATGAACTTGTTGCATGTAGATTTTGTCCACTGAAGGAAGTTGAGGCACCCTCCACTACAGTGATTAGGAGTCTCTAGAGATAAGGTGATTAGATTGGGTCTTGAAGGAGTATTGGGTCTGAGTATTTGCTGGGCATGGAAGATAAAAGATTTGAAAAGTCATTCTAAGTAGAGGAATCAGCATGTTTAATGTCATATTCTTGAAACTAAGTGACAGATAGATTCAATGGACTGGGAGTCGCAGGATTGGAGGAGAGGGGCACATGGCAATGACAGGCTTTGATTTCTTTTTCCAGGAAAAGGCTCAACATTCATTTGCTATGTCAAAGAAGAATATGTAACATAAGATTTTAAAAGATAGGAAAAATTGGTTCAAATTGTTTTGTAGACTGATGACTAAAGAAACATATGTGGGTAAATAAACTTTTTGAATAAGAATTGAAGGCCAGTATGTTTTTCTGTCTTATGGTGTTTAAGTTACTTTTGTGTCAACCTTGAACTTTTGGAACTTAAGTTCATTTACTTTTAGTAAAATTTGTTTTCCTTTTTCTAAGAAAAAATATGACATAAGTTAGACTTAAATGGGATTTTTTTGAAGATAAAATAGCTCTTAGAAATTTTGCATTTTGATGAGATGAATTTAAATGAACCAAATGCAGTCAAATGAACAGCCCTTAAAATATACTATGTGTGAAAAATCAAATCAAGAATGCTTAGAGCAAAACATTTAAGGCTTTATTGTATTGAAACCATTTGAAAAGTATATTCTAAATGATGAACAAATAGAGTGTGTGATCAGGTTTTATAATTTAACACTGACTTCCCTCTTTTCCATGCTTGTACTCCTTTCCTGTTCTATATACAATTTTCCTAAATACATTGTCCTCAAAACAGACATTTAAAATAGTATTGCTGTTTTATTATAAGAAATATTTATGCTGTTTGTTTAAATATGTATGAGATCTAGAAACATTTAAAAACGATAATTAATTTCACATGCCCGGCCCCAGACTGTTAAACTTTTGTTGCAAAGTCCTCTGAGGCCATTTTAGGCATGCGCATATATGCACACACATAACCTTTTATAACATATTTTTAATACATTATATTTAATACATTTAATTTTCATATTTTTAATTAAAACAGAGGCTTATACTATATATATGTTTGTATATATCACATAGTTTTGTACATGTTTTTCACTCAGTACCATTAATATTTTGGTTGTGGATTACTATTTTTAGTGGCTAAATATTATTTTAATTTGTCCAAATATTTCCTCTTGATAAACCCCTATGAGTTGAATTGCTGGTTGAGAGAATATCCATATATCAGCCTTTGAATGGGTTTTTATGTTCCCGTCATCAGTGGTTGCGAGTGCATATGTTTGCACACCCTCATCAATATTGAAGTTAGCTTCCTTTCAATCATTTTTGCCAATTGTATTTATTTAGTTTTCAAAATTTTTTAAATTAATTATAGGTTTTTGAGACAGAGTCTCACTCTATTGCCTGGGCTGGACTGCACTGGTGTGATCCCAGCTCACTGAAACCTTGACCTCCTGGGCTCCAGTGATCCTCTCACCTGAGCTTCTCAAGTAGCTGGGACTACAGGCATGCACCATCTTGCCTGGCTAAATTTTTTAGTTTTAGTGGAGACAGATCCTCACTATGTTACTGAGGCTGATCTCAAACCCCTGGTCTCGAGTAATCCTTCTCTCTTGGCTTCCCAAAGTGCTGGGATTATAGGTGAGCCACTGTGCCTGGCCCATTTTTGCCAATTATATTTTATTTTATTTTATTTTATTTATTTATTTTGAGACAGAGTCTTGCTCTGTTGCCTAGGCTGGAGTGCCATGGTGTGATCTCCGCTTACTGCACCCCCCGCCTCCCGGGTTCAAGCAATTCTCCTGCCTCAGCCTCCTGAGTAGCTGGGATTACAGGTGCCTGCCATCAGACCTGAATAATTTTTGTATTTTTAGTAGAGACGGGGTTTCACCATGTCGGCCAGGCTGGTCTCGAACTCCTGACCTTAGGTGATCCACGTGCCTCGGCCTCCCAAAGTGCTGGGATTACAGGCACGAGCCACCGTGCCTGGCCCATTTTTGCCAGTTTTAGAATTCAAACTGTTATCTTATTCTTTTCCATGTGATTTGATTGATTTTTTTCCTATTATTGATCATCTTTTTTTAAGTTATCTGTTTATATCTTTGCTTATTTATTGGGGGTATTTATCTTTTTCATATTTATCAGAGCTTTTTATAGATTGAAGATATAACTCTCTTTGGTTATGATTATTTCTCCACCTACTCACTTATCTTTTAATTTGCATATGTGTGTTTTTGTGTATGTTTTGGCATACAGACATTTTAAAGATTTAGTTCGTCAAATCTGTCATCATTTTTTATGTTTTATCTTTATGGTCGTGTTTAGAAATGAAAGGCATTATTTTTGCCATTTTTCATTTACCTGAAAGAAACTGAGCCCACCCTGATGGTAAATCTTTAGTCACTAAGATGCCGTGAGGGGCATCAAATCCTCGCTCTCAATTCGTCTTTTATTCAAAATGTACAATAAGTAGTCCCTTTTTTTTTTTTTTTTTTTTTTGACGGAGTCTCACTCTGTCACCCATGCTGGAGTGCAGTAGCACCATCTTGTCTCACTGCAACCTCCGCCTCTCTGGGTTCAAGTAATTATCCTGCCTCAGCCTCCTGAGTAGCTGGGACTACAGGCATGCGCCACCACGCCCAGCTAATTTTTGTATTTTTAGTAGAGACAGGGTTTCACCATGTTGGTCAGGCTGGTCTCGAACTCCTGACCTCAAATACTCCACCCACCTTGGCCTCCCAAAGTGCTGGAATTACAGGCGTGAGCCACTGCACCAAGCCAGTAGTACCTTTTTAAAGGGAAGAAGTGTTTTTTTAGGAAAGCCTGTGAGATTCCAAAGTCAATCTGAATGTTCAACACTGGGTAATTTCATTTCTGTGTCTATTGCCCACCCCTTGTTCAAGTTAGTGGTAATGCAGCGTTGATTTCATCTTCCTAATATGAAATTTTCTTGTTTACATTTAGTGTTTGTATTAATAGACAGCATGCCTTTTGAGATTTGACTTTTATTAATAATTGTGTCTAACTGTCCAGGCATTTTTGTGATGCTCTAGCCTTCCCATCATACTTTAAGACTGAGTCAGCAGAGGGAACTGCATGTTCAATGGTACATAGGTGAGAGAGAACATAGTAGACAGGAAACTGGAAATCAGGATATGGTTTCTGAAGAGAGGACATGGTCAGAGTGAGGAGGCAGAAGGAAGCAGAGTGAGAACCAAGGTTGAAGAAAGAAGTAAGATTCAAGCCATGCGTGGTCTCCTAAACCTTACAGGGAGATTGAACTTCATTATAAACCAATAGAACCAAGATAGGATTTTTCCAAGGGAAGAGGCACAGTCAAGACCCAGGTTTTATGGCTACAGAATGCAAAACTGAATGGAGAATGACTGGAGAGTTGCTGCTGGGGGACTGTTGCAAGAGTGTACAAGAGATCCAAGCAAAACCTCCAGGCCGATTGTTCTCTTGTTCTGGAATATAGGGTGTCATGGGTCTAGAGGGCACAAATCCTATGGTGTTTATTTATAATACAAATAGTGTTGAGGAGTCCATGGAGACAGTGAGACCTATAGCCTGTGTGACTGGGATGTAGCCCTGGCCATTCTTTTAGACACCAAATATCTGATGGTGATGACAGGCTCAGTTGTGGATGTGTAGTCTGTATAAAAATGGGTCTGGAGCTGAGAAATCTGGGAATGTGCTAGAGAGGCAAGCATGGAGGTCAAGTCTGCATGTATCAGCATAGAGACTAAACTGTAAGTCCTGGGAGCTAGGGGGTCAACAAGTAAGACTGCATTAAATGAAAAAAGACCAAGGGAAAATACGGAGGAAAAGCGGCATGTGCTCTCAGGAAGCTGAGATACAATTGCTGGAGGGAGAGGAGGACAGCCAGGATGTCTTCAGGAATTCACAAGTGAGAGCCTATGAAATCATCAGAGGGGTCACCTGTGTAGAATGAGCAATAAAGGTCAGGGTTAAAAATGGTTTACTGGGTGTGACCATGCAGAGGTCATTTTGCAGTCTTTTGTCTGAAGCAATGAAGAGGTGAAGAACACAGTAGGTAGTTCTGTTTCTACCAGAAGACATCGCTTTCTCCAAGACTGACAGAAGATGAAGATAGATGCAGATCCAGGTGCATGGCCTGGAATTTGAGGGACGTCGAGCCTCATTTTCTCCATGGCATAGAAGAGGCCTTCTGAAGGAGGAGAGGAGACCTAGTAGCCATTACCAAGAACACTGATGAGTTTGATTACATAAAAACTGAAATGTTATGTATGGTGAAAGAAATAACAAATAGAAATAAAAGATGGACCATAAACTGGGAGAGAATATTTGAAAAGCATAAAACAAAGGATTAACATCCCTAATCTATAAAATGTGAAAGGGGAAAACTCAACTACACTGTTGCCAAGTCCACTCAGAACAACTAGTGTACATAATGGAAAATAAAACAACCAATCCATTTGACCTCACTGGAATCAAGCAAGTTCATATTAAAACAACAAAATACCTCTTTTTGTCTATCAAATCAGCAAAAAAAAAAAACAACTTAGTATCATTCACTGCTGTTGAAGAAATAGGGGCTATATGTCTTATTGATAGAGGAATAAATTACTTCAACATTTTGGGGGATAGCAATCTTATGATCTCTTCAAAATGTACATATGCATTTCCTATGAAACGGCCATCCTATTTTGAGAATTTAGCCTTCAGAAATAAAACTACAGGAATGTCCAAGATACACGTTGAAATAAGTAGCAGTATTGCTTCTAGTGACGAAATATTCAATGTGAAGATCCATCAGTAATGAAATGGTAGAATAAAAACCGGAATATCCATACTATGAAAGAGACGTTAAAAAGATGGTTGGCTTAAGAATATCATGATGTAAATGTAACTGGGCAGCATAACCTCAAAATGCATTTTAAAACTTTTTTTTTTCCTCTTTCTCTTGGGTTTCAAGATGTAACCTTGAAGCAAACTACAGAAGCCTGTTTCCTTTAGCCTTAAAATAGACTCCACGTCCCTCCGTTTTTCTCCAGATATACTCCCTTCTTATTTATCTAACTGTACGCTAGCATCTAATTATGTGCCTTCTTTGAAGATTTGGGGGCTAATCTTGAGACAGACAGACCAAGCCTGGAGACCCAGCTGCAGAGTTCCAGAGATGGCCTCAGAGGGCTAATCAGCAGCCCCGCCACTGTTGAGATGATGCCAGACCATGTACCAGGTGGACTGGGACCCAAGATAGCCACTGGAACAAGATGCACAGGCATCGTCCTCAGCACAGTTCTGGCATGCCTTTCGTATCAAGTTCTCCCTTTTTAAACTCTTTCCTTCCCCACCAAAATTTGAAGTAGTTGCTTTGGATGGGAATCCAACCACTTCCCCACGACTAGTTTTGGTTAATAAAGTCACTTTCTTTCTAACAGGCCTCACGCTTGTTAATTCTACTCTGCAAGCAGCGAGCTTTGTGTTACATAAATGATCACAATTCAGAATATATAAATCATAATTCAGAATAAGTTATACATTCCCTTTAAATGAACTTATGTAAATGTATTTCACGTTTGTACAAATAAGAGAAAAGTACGGAAAGATGCTAGCCAAATTTTTAACTAGGAAGGGGTGGGTGATGGAAGTGGCATTGGTAGACCAGAGGATGTGACTCATTATTAAAATGTAGAAACCTCAATATCACTTGGATTACTAGCAAAAGCATATATGACCCATTTAATTCACATCACTAAAATAAAATGAGTAAATAATTTTATAACAAAAGAGACAGTAAACAGAACAGACTTAGTAGAAGCAAGCTGGGTCTAGCTGGAACGTTGTCACAACGAGGAGGTTTCAAAGGATGGAAGAACTCGAAGGTGTTATGATCCTCAGGAAGGGGACCAATATCTATGCATGGGAGCACTGAAAGTCTGCAGACGACAGAGAGCCAGAAAGATCTCCAAATCAGCTCCTGGGCCTGCCTGTGCACGAGAGGCAGTGTCCTCCTTGGGGAGCTTGCATGAAAAAAGGTGGAAGCTTGCATGCACAGAGTGAGGGCTGGGAGGTCTTAGTTTTTGAGGTAAGCCTGCATTTCAGTTTTAGGATCACCCATTGGAATGAGTGATTCAGTCCAAGGCTTGGAACTCATTTTCTGTTTGGAATCTACCCAAATATATAAGACATTCTAAAAATGGAAAATGGAGCACCCAGAAAGTGAAAAATGTAATTGTAAATAAAATTAAGAGATGATTTTGAGAAATGTGGGCATTTAAAGGACAGTTTTTAAGATATTCTGTATGTCTGGCAATTAAGATTTCAATGAAACACTTCTGTTGCCTTTTACTGACTGTTGATAGCTTTATTAATGACAGGGGGTGACACACAGATATTAAAAATGCAGAGGAGAATTACTGGGGAGCAAAGGGAAGAGCCCCAGGGGGTTTTGTTTGTTTTTAGGTTACGCAGAGTTTTTTGAGAATAGTTTCACAGCCACAGGAACCTAAATTTTCTATAAATATTTTTAAAGGAGTGGATGGATAATGTATGTCTGCATAATAAGTGTTATCATTCATGATTTCCTGATTGATTTTACTGAAAGAGCTAGTGAGATTCCTTTAATGCTTTCTTTCAATAGAATTGATAATATTTTTCTTTCCCTGGTAGGACATTTTGTAGTAAAGTAAGGACACTCTGAAAGGAATATTTCAGTGCCCCAAATACTGTAAAATGATATTGCCCCCATGAAGACGTTTTGCTCTCTCTAGTGACAGACTTAAGGATGTCTGTCTACACCTGGCCCATCAGGATAGTAATTCGGATGCTGTGACAACTTCACTGCTCCATTATCTTCATTCTGCAGATGACAGCTGGAGCAAGAGGAGCTAAGCTGGATTACAAAGCCAATTAATGTCAGGGCTTAGCTGTAAATCTTCTTGTGTAAGTCTTGGATATGTTTTCTGTAGCCATAAATTCTTTTTCACGAGTGCTGAGTGTTTATTCTGTAGCAGTATGGAAGCATGTAGAGTAAAACCCAAGTTACTTAACATTATGCAGGAGATCATAGTAAGCAATAATTTGGGATATGGATTTTCCTGGAAAATTTAACTCATTCAGCATGACAGACTGAAGGCCACCTTCAGAACCTACGTGGACATTCAAAGACACATTTGGGACAGGTGAGACAGTACCTAAAGGGGGTAATAGAGGGCCAGAGCTCAAGTCTAGGTGCCAGGATGCAGGCTGGATGGGTAATGAGATGGGGGATAGTCAAAGATACACTAATTGTTCAATCCTAGGTTTGCATCTGGAATGTCTGTTTGTTTTTTTTTCCAAATTTGTCTAAGCATTTCTGTGCTCTCAGGTCATCTGTACCTTTATTATACTTGCTTTTGAATGTATTGGTCTCAGATAACATGACAGGGCAATGAGTCTCACATTTGTGGTTTAATATTTTATTGATAGTGCAGTTACTTATCTGCATTTTCCTAGTTCTCTTCATATTTCTCTTGCTGTTTATCCTGTATGCCACCTCTGGGCTCTTTCCTCGTTGAGCATATGTTGCCTGCCTCCTAGCTCCATGCCAGGCTTCTCCCTGAAGTGCCAGCTCAGGCACCTTGCTCCTGGCTCCCTCAACTTGGACATCCCACGGGTACTTTACATCCAGCTAAAATCTTCATTGCTGCCCCTAAATCAATGGCTGTTTTCTCGTGTGGGGAAGTCACATCTACCCAGTCCTCCATACTAGAGTTTTCTGTTTTATCCCTTCTCACTGAGTGCCTACATTCAACCAATCACAAATTTTATCTGCCAAAAGTTTGTCAAAGCAGTTTTAATTTTTTTGCCTAACTATTGCCTCTGATCAGTCCTGAATCATCTTTTCACTAGATTATCTTTTTTAATTATTATTTTTGTGGGTACATAGTATGCGTGTATATTTATAGGATACATAAGGTGCTTTTTTTCATTTGTTTTGCTTTTTTTTTTTTTTTTGAAATGAGTTTTTCTCTGTTGCCCAGGCTGGAGTGCAATGGCACGATCTCGGCTCACTGCAACCTCTGCCTCCTGAGTTCAAGCGATTCTCCTGTCTCAGCCTCCCAAGTAGCTGAGATTACAGGTATCCACCACCACGCCCATCTAATTTTTGTATTTTTAGTAGAGACAGGGGTTTCACTATGTTGGCTAGGCTGGCCTTGAACTCCTGACCTCAGGTGATCCACCTGCCTCAGCCTCCTAAAGTACTAGCATTATAGGCATGAGCCACTGTGCCCAGCCATGAGATATTTTGATACAGGCATGCAATGTGAAATAATCACAACATGGAAAATGGAGTATCCATCCCCTCAAGCATTTATCCTTTGAGTTACAAACAATCCAATTACACTCTTTAAGTTATTTTAAAATACACAATTAAGTTATTATTGACTGTGGTCACCCTGTTATGCTATCAAATAGTAGGTCTTATTCATTCTATTTTTTTCCCTCCCATCCTCCCTCTACCTTCCCAACCTCTGATAACTATTCTCCTACTCTCTATGTCCATGGGTTCAACTGTTTTGATTACTAGATTCCACAAATAAGTGAGAACATGTGATGTTTGTCTTTCTCTGCCTGGCTTATTTAATAGTTTCCAATTCTATCCAGGTTGTTGCAAATGACTGGCTCTCACTCTTTTTTATGGCTGAATAGTACTCCATTGTACATGTGTACCACGTTTTCCTTATGCATTATTCATCTGTTGATGGATGCTTAGGTTGCTTCCAAATCTTAACTATTATATACAGAGCTTTAGCAAACATAGGAGTGCAGATATATCTTGTATACACTGATTTCCTTTCTTTTGGATATATACCCAGCAGTGGTATTGCAGGATCAAATAGTAGCTTAATTTTTAGTTTTTGAGGAACCTCAAAACTAAAAAATAATCTTCTCCATAGTGGTTGTAGTAATTTACATTTTCACCAACAGTATATGAGGGTTCCCTTTTCTCCACAACCTTGACAGCATTTGTTATTGCCTGTCTTTTGGGATACAAGCCATTTTACCTGGGGTGAGATAATAGCTCATTGTAGTTTTGATTCGCCTTTCTCTGATGATGAGTGATGTTGACCACCTTTTCATATGCCTGTTTGCCATTTGTATGTCTTCTTTTGAGAAATGTCTGTTCAAATCTTTTGCCTATTTAAAATGATCAGATTATTATATATTTTTTTCCTATAGCATTGTTTGAGCTCCTTGTATATTCTGATTATTAATCCCCTGGCAGGGTTTGCAAATATGTTCTCCCATTATTTTGGTTGTCTCTTCACTTTGTTGATTGTATCCTTTTACTGTGCAGAAGCCTTTTTTTCAGGGCTAGCTGAGGTTTTATTTTGGGGGGAAAAAAATAAAAGCAGTTGAGTTGTTTTGTAGCTGAAGGCATGGGCAAGGTGGTCCCCAGGCAGTAAACTCCCCCGTGGGTGGGCTGAGGGCTAGGGCTGAGCCTCAGGTGGGTCTCCCATTCCCTGTGCTCCGCTGCACAGCAGCCTCCCTCCCAGGCTCTGGGGCAGCCACCAGAGGGGCAGGCTGGGAGGGGCTGTCGCAGCTGTTCACTTAGGAAGGACATCAGAGGACTCGGATACCAGCTTCCCATCGCAGGTCTTGATCTTCTTCACAACCATGGCCCTGGTGGAGCTGGTGCAGCTGAAGGAGCTGGAGCCCATGTCAGAGCCAAAGCTGGAGCCCAGGCCATAGCTGAGGCCAGGGCTTGTGAGACCCCCATAGGCCAAGCTCAGACCATCTGCATAGGCGCTGGTGGTCTTTGTATGGATACTCATGTTCTGCATCCCAGACTCCAGGTGGCTCTCCTCACTCTCCAGCAGCTTCCTGTAGGTGGCAATCTCGATGTCCAGGGCCAGCTTCATGTTCTTCAGCTTCTGGTACTCATGCAGCTGCCACGCCATGTCCTGCATGGCCTGTTGCAGGGCAGCCTCCAGCTTGGACAGCTTGGTGTTGGCATCCTTAATGGCCAGCTCCCCACGCTGCTTGACATCTGCGATGGTGGCCTCCAGGGAAGCCCTCTGGCTTTTGAGGCCCTCAGTCTCAGCCTGGGGCTGGCTGATGTTCCAGTTCATCTTGGAGATCTCAGTCTTTGCATCTGCAGCTCCTTATACTTGATCTGGTACATGCTCTTAGCCTCAGCCCGGCTGAGGTTGGGTGATCTCCTCATACTACGCCTTGACCTCAGCAATGATGCTGTCCATGTCCAGGAAGTGGCTGTTGTCCTGGACAGCACCATAGATGTGTCCGAGATCTGGGACTGCAGCTCCAAGGTCTCCTCTTCATACAGCTGCCTGAGGAAATTGATCTCGTCAGCCAGCCCTTCCAGCTGAGACTACAGCTCTACCTTGTTCACGTAAGCATCATCCATGTCCTTCCTGATGAGGATAAATTCATTCTCCATCTCTGTACACTTATTGATCTCATCCTTGTACTTGTTCTTAAAGTCCTCCACCAGCCCCTGCATGTTGCCAAGCTCTGCCTCTAGCTTCAGCTTCTCCTGGACCAGAGTGTCCGGCTGCCCCCTAGGGTTGTTGATGTAGCTCTTGAACATGTTGCCCATGTTGCTCCAAGCCATCTTCTGCTGCTGCAGGAGGCTCCACTTGGTCTCTAGCATGTTGTTCTGCTGCTCCAGGAACCGTACCTTGCCTATGAAGGAGGCAAACTTGTTGTTGAGGGTCCTGATCTGCTCCTTCTCCTTCTCCTGCTCCTGCACGGCCTGGATGTTGGGGTCCACCTCCAGGTTAAGGAGGCTCAGCAGTCTCTGGTTGACCACAACGGCGGTGATGCCTCCCATGCCGCCGGCCCCACCAGAGCCTCCACCCAGGCCACCCCCGGAAGCTGCTGCTGCCCATAGAGGTGGACACCTTATAGGACTTCTGGGTCACCCTGATGGACATGGTGGAGGCAGGAGTAGAGGCAAGTGGATTGAACCAGGCAGAGATTCCAGAAGGAGCAGAGAAGCTGCTTCTTGGTCACTGTGCAGAAGCTTTTTGACTTGATATGATCCCCTTTGTCCATTTTTGCTTTGGTTGCTTGTGCTTGTGGGGTATTGCTCAAGAAATTTTTACCCAGACAGACCAGTGTCCTGGAGAGTTTCCCCAATGTTTTCTTGAAGTAATTTCATAGTTTGAGGTTTTCTATTTAATTTTTAAATCGATTTTGCTTTGATTTTTATATATGGTGAGAGATAGAAGTCTAGTTTCATTCTTCTGCCTATTGATATCCTGTCTTCTCAGCACCACTTACTGAAGAAACTCTTTTTCCCAGTGTATGTTCTTGGCACTTTTGTCAAAAATGAGTTTGCTGTAGGTGTGTGGATTTGTTTCTTGGCTCTCTGTTCTGTTTCATTGCTCTGTGTGTCTGTTTTTATGCCAGTACCATGCTGTTTTGCTTACAATAGCTCTGTAGTATAATTTGAAGTCAAGTAATGTGATTCCTTCAGTTTTGTTCCTTTTGCTTAGGATAACTTTGGCTATTCTGGGTCTTTTGTGGTGCCATGTAACTTTTAGGATTCTTTTTTCTATTTCCCAGAAGAATGTCATTGGCATTTTGATAGAGATTGCACTGAAACTGTAGATTGCTTTGTGTAGTATGGACATTTTAACAATATTGGATTTTATCCATGAACATGGAATATTTTTCCTTTTTTGGCATTCTCTTTGATTTATTTCATTAGTGTTTTATAGTTTTCATTATAGAGATCTTTTGCTTCTTTGGGTAATTCCTAAGAATTTAATTTTATGTGTGGCTATTGTAAATGGAATTTTTAAAAATTTCTTTTATTTATTTCACATTGTTCTCTGTTGGCATTTAGAAATGCTACTGATTTTTGTATGTAGATTTTGTGTCCTGCAACTCTACTGAATTTGGGTATCAGTTCTAATGGTTTCTTGTGGAATCTTAAGGTTTTTCCAAATATAAGATCATATCATCTGCAGACAAGGATAATTTGACTTCTTCCTTTACAATTTGGATGCCTTTTATTTCTTTCTCTTTTCTGATTGCTCTAGCTAGGACTTCCAGTACTATGTTGAATAACAGTGGTGACATCAGGCATCCTTGTCATGTTCCCGATCTTAGAAGAAAGGCTTTCAGTTTTTCCCCATGTAGTATGATACTACCTGTGGGTCTGTCATTTATGGCTTTTAATAAAAGCCATATGTTGAGATGTGTTCCTTTTATCCCCAGTATTTTGAGAATTTTTATCATGAAGGATGTTGAATTTTATTAAATGCTTTTTCAGCATCAATTGAAATCATCATATGATTTTTATCTTTCATTCTGTTGATATGATGTATCACATTGATTGACTTGAATATTTTGAATCATCCTTGCATCCCAGGGATAAATCCCACTTTCTGATGTAATGTTGAATTCAGTTTGCTAGTATTTTGTTGAGGATTTTTGCATCAATATTCATCAGAAATATTGGCCTGTAGTTTTCTTTTTTTGATGTGTCTGTGGTTTTGGTATCAGAGTAATACTGGCCTTGTAGAACAAGTTTGGAAGTATTCCCTCCTCCTCTGTCTTTTGGAATAGTTTGAGTAGGGTTGGTATTAGTTCTTCTTTAAATGTTTGGTAGAATTCAGCAGTGAAGCCATCAGGTCCTGGGCTTTTCTTTACTGGAAGATTTTTTATTATGGCTTTAATCTTGTTACTTGTTATTGGTCTGTTTGGGTTTTGGATTTTTTTGCCTGGTTCAATAATGGTAGGTTGTATGTATCTAGGAATTTGTCCACTTCTTCTAGACTTTCCAATATATTGACATATAGTTGCTCATAGTAGCCACTAATGATCCTTTGAACTTTTGCAGTATCAGTTGCAATGTTTCGTTTTTCATTTATGGTTTTATTTGGATCTTCTCTCTTTTTTTCTTTGTTAGCCTGGCTAAAGATTTGTCTATTTTGTTTGACTTTTCAAGAAACCAACTTTTTGTTTTATTGATCTTTTGTATTTTTTTCATTTCAATTTATTTATTTCTGCTCTGATCTTTATTATTATTTTCTTCTACTAATTCTTGGCATATAGAAATGCTGCTGATTTTTGGGCTATCATGAAGATTAAGTCTGATGTTTCTTTGTTGATTTTCTATTTGAAGACCTGTCCAGTTCTGAAAGTGGGGTACTGAAGTCTCTAGTTATTATTGTATTGAGGCTTATCTCTCTCTTTGGCTCTAATACCATGTGCTTTATCTTAATATATCTGGGTGCTCCAGTGTTGGGTGCATATATATTTAAAGTTCTTATATCGTCTTGCTGAATTGACCCCTTTATCATTATATAGTGACCTTTTTATATCTTCTTATAGTTTTTGTCTTGAAATCTATTTTTTCTGATATAAGTATAGCAACTCCTGCCATTTTTTGTTTTCCATTAGCATAGAATATCTTCTTCCATCCCTTTATTTTCAATCTATGTGGATCTTTATAGTGAAGTGTGTTTCTTGTAGGCAACATATAAATGAGTCTTGTTTTTTTCATCCATTCACCCAGTCTGTGTCTTTTTGTTGCAGAGTTTAGTCCCTTTACATTCATTATATGTATGTATGTATGTATGTATGTATGTATGTATGTATGTATTTATTTTGAGACTGAGTTTCACTCTTGTCACCCAGGCTGGAGTGCAATGGCACGATCTCAGCTCACTGCAACCTCTGCCTGTCAGGTTCAAGCAATTATCTTGCCTCAGCCTTTGGAGTGGCTGGGATTACAGGCACACACCACCACGCCTGGTTAATTTTTGTATTTTTAGTAGAGATAGGGTTTCACCATGTTTGCCAGGCTTGTCTCCAACTCCTGACCTCCCAGGCAGGTGACCCGCCCACCTCAGCCTTCCAAAGTGCCGGGATTATACACATTGAGCCACCGCTCCCGGCCAATGTTATTATTTATAAGTAAGGACTTACTCCTCCATTTTGTTATTTGTTTTCTCGTTGTTTTGTTGTCTTCTCTTCCTTCTTTCTTTTCTTCCTATCTTCCTCTAGCAGAGGTGATTTTCTCTGGTGATACGTTTTAGTTTCTTGCTTTTTCTTTTTTGTGTCTCCACTGTGTGTTGTTTTGGTTTGATATTATCATTTTAACCTCATAACAACTTAACACCAATTGCATAAACAAAGAGACAAAAAGAAAACTAATAAAAACTCTATACCTTAACTTTATCCCCTGGCATTTTAACTTTTTATTGTGTCTATTTATATCTTATTGTACTCACTATGCCTTGAAAAGTTATTTCAGTTATTATTTTTGATTCGTTCATTGTTTAGTCTTTTTACTTAGGGTAAGAGTAGTT
Organism: Homo sapiens; assembly: GCF_000001405.40. Taxonomy (NCBI): domain Eukaryota; kingdom Metazoa; phylum Chordata; class Mammalia; order Primates; family Hominidae; genus Homo; species Homo sapiens. Next base: position 162,564,988 of record NC_000006.12, on the reverse strand, counting down.
TACACACCACAGTTACACTGTTATAATATTCTAGGTTTTCCTGTGTACTTACTATTACCAGTGAGTTTTGTACCTTCAGGTGATTATTTATTGCTCATTAATTTTTTTTTTTTTTTTTCTGATTGAAGTACTCCTTTTAGCATTTCCTGTAGGACAGGTCTGCTATTGGTGAAATTCTCCAGCTTTTGTTTGTCTGGGAAAGTCTTTATTTCTCCTTCATGTTTAAAGGATAGTTTTGCCAGATACACTATTATAAGATAAAAGATTTTTCCTTCAGCACTTTAAATATGTCATGCCATTCTCTCCTAGCCTGTAAGGTTTCCACTGAAAAGTCTGCTGCCAGATGTTTTGGAGCTCCATTGTATGTTATTTATTTCTTTCCTTTTGCTGCCTTTAGGATCCTTTCTTTATCCTTGACCTTTGGGAGTTTGATTATTAAATGCCTTGATGTAGTTTTCTTTGCATTAAATCTCCTTGGTGTTCTGTAACCTTGTTGTAGTTGTATATTGATATCTTTCTCTAGGTTTGGGAAGTTCTCTGTTATTATCCCTTTAAATACATTTTCTACCCCTATCTTGTCCTTTATTTTCTCTTTAAGGCCAATAGGCCAATTACTGTTTTTTTTGTTTTTGTTCTTTTTTTTTTGAGATGGAGTCTTGCTCTATTGCCAGGCTGGAGTGCAGTGGTGTTATCTCAGCTCACTGCAACCTCTGCCTCCCTGATTCAAGCGATTCTTCTGCCTTAGCCTCCCAACTAGCTGGGATTACAGGCACCCACCACCACACCTGGCTAATTTTTGTATTTTTTGTAGAGACGGGGTTTCACCATGTTGGCCAGGATGGTCTCGATCTCCTGACTCTGTGATCCACCCACCTCGGCCTCCCAAAGTGCTGGGATTACAGGCATGAGCCACCGCACCCAGCCCAATTACTCTTAGATTTACCCTTTTAAGGCTATTTTATAGATCCTGTAGGCAAGGCATAATTTATTGTGGTTTTTTTTTTTGTCTCCTCAGACTCTGTATTTTCAAATAGTCTGTATTCAAGCTTACTAATTCTTACTTCTCCTTGATCAGTTCAGCTATTAAAAGACTCTGATACATTCTTCAGTATGCCAATTGTGTTTTTCAGCTCCAGAATTTCTGCTTGATTCTTTTTAATTATTTCATTCTCTTTGTTAAATGTATCTGATAGGATTATGAGTTGCTTCTCTGTGTTATCATGAATTTTCTTTGTGTTTTCTTAGCACAGCTATTTTGAATTCTCTGTCTGAAAGGTCACATAGCTCTATTTATCCAGGATTGGTCCCTGGTGCCTTATTTAGTTCATTTGATGAGATCATGTTTTCCTGGATGGTGTTGATGCTAGCAGATGTTCTTTGGTGTCTGGGCATTGAAGAGTTGGGTACTTATTTTAGTCTTCACTGTCTGGGCTTATTTGTAGCCATCTTTCTCAGAAAGGCTTTCTAGATATTTAACAGGACTTGGGTATTGTGATCTAAGCTGTATCTACTTTAGGGGGAACCCCAAGCCCAGTAATGCTGTGGTTCTTGCAGACTCATAGAGGTGCTGCTTTGATGGTCTTGGACAAGATCTGTGATAATTCTCTTGATTACCAGACAGAGAGTCTTGTTCTCTTCTCTTGCTTTCTCTTTTTTTGTTTTTTTTTTTTTGTTTTTTGTTTTTTAAGATGGAGTCTCGCTCTGTCGCCGAAGCTGGAGTGCAGTGGCGCGATCTCAGCTCACTGCAAGCTCCGCCTCCTGGGTTCACGCCATTCTCCTGCCTCAGCCTCCCGAGTAGCTGGGACTACAGGCGCCCACCACTACGTCTGGCTAATTTTTTTGTATTCCTTAGTAAAGACAGGGTTTCACTGCTTTAGCCAAGATGGTCTTGATCTCCTGACTTCATGATCCGCCCGCCTCGGCCTCCCAGAGTGCTGGGATTACAGGCGTGAGCCACTGCGCCCGGCTCTCTTGCTTTCTCTTAAACAAAGAGTTTCTCTCTCTCTGTTCTGAGCCACCTAAAGCTTGAGGTGGAGTGACACAAGCACCCCTGTGGCCACCACCACTATGACTTTGTTGAGTCAGACATGAAGCCAACAAAGGGCTGAGTCTCACCCAAGTCCTGCTGTAACCACTCCCTGGCTACTGCCTATGTTCACTCAAGGCCCTGGGGTTTTATAATCAGTAGGTGATAAAGGCCTGTTTTTTCCCCTTCAGGGCAGTGAGGTCTGCCAGGCTCTCTGGGTAGGTCCAGAGGTGCCATCTGGGGGTCAGGAACTAGAGTCAAAAGTCTTAGACATCAACCTGGTATTGCTGCTGAGCTGACACTCAAAACACAAAATACAGTCCTTCCCAGTTTTCTCTCCCCTTTCCAAAGGCAGAGGAGCCTCACCCTGTAATCACCACTACCCCAGACCATGAGGAGTACTGCCAGACTAGCCCTGATGTTCCCTTAAGGCCCAAAGGCTCTTAAGTCAGCTTGTAGTGAATGCCACCTGGTCTGGGACTCACCCTTCAGAGCAGTGGACTTCCCACTGGCCCAGGGCAGGTCCAGAAATGCCATCCAAGGGTCAAGTCCTGGAACTGGGGACCCCAAGAGCACACTTGGCATTTTGGACCCCAGTAGCTGTGCTGGTACCTGAAGCCAGCATGTCCCAGAGCCTCACCCAAGGCCCTCGACGTGGTACCTGGATATTGCTGCTGGTTATTCGTGACCCAAGGGCTCATCAGTTAACAGGTGATGAATGCTGCTGGCACCAGCTCCTTTCTTTCAAGGCAGTGGGTTCCCTTGTGGGCCAGAGTGTGTCTAGAAATGTTGTCTGGTAGCTGGGGCCTAGAACAGAGGCCTCACAATTCAGTCTGTTGCCCTTTCCTGCTGTGGCTAAGCTAGTATCCAAGATACAAAACAAAGTCCTCCCTACTCCTCCATCTCCTCTCCTCAAGTGGAAGGAAGGGGTCTTTTCTGGAGCTGAGAACTGTGCAGCCTGGGATTAGGGGAGCAGTGATGCCAGCACTCCCTTGTCTGTCCCAGCTAGTGTCTCAGTATGTCACGTGCCCTCCCACCCCCAGTTCACTGTCTCTGGGCCTAGTTCAGCACTAGGACTTTCCTAATAGTTGTAGTCCTTATGGCCTAGACTGCCTTTCACATTGACCTGGAGACTCAGAGTGCTGTAGCCCTCTGTGGCAAGGTTTGCAGGCACTCAAGTTCCGACCACAGGGATCTGCATTCCCCCTGGCATGGGCAGGCATCAGCTGAGTTTGGTCTGGTTTTCCTTTCTGCTGTAACAGGACAACACTGAATTTAATGCCTCACAATTGCTGTGTTCTCCCTCCCCTAGTGCCCAGAGATGCTCTTCGCCCCCAGTAAGGGAGGCGTGGTGTCAGCAGATTCAGGACGGGTTTTTTTTGTTTTTGTTTTTGTTTTTTTAAATCACTTCAGTGCCTCTTTCAGGGATATGAAGTGGAAATCAAGTACCATGAGTGCTCACCTGATTTTTGGTTCTTAAGAAGGTGTTTTTCCTATGTAGATTAGCTGTTAACTTGGTGTCCTTGCGGGGTCGGGGGACGAACGGTGGAGCTTTCTATTCTACCATCTTGTCTGCATCTCACTAGATTATCTTTTAAAAACTAGATAGTCATTGGCTTTCTTCTTTCGCTCAGTCTTTCTCTTCAATATCTACTCCACTGCTATAAGCATGTTCTTTTACAATGAAAAATGTGACCATGGCATTCCTGTGCTTGAAACTGTTTAGTAAATATCATTGCCCAAAGAATAAAGCCCAAGCCCCTTAATACTTAAGGCTCTCCGCAACCTGGAGACCTCAGCTTTATCTTCATCACTCCATGCGCTTGGGACTGCAGCATCTCACACCAGACTGACTGTAGTTGGACACGCTCCATGGATTTCTCCCCGTCGCCCTGCTCCTTTGATCGCCTAGGCTGCAAATCGTCTTTCCTTCCTCAGTCCCATCTGGTCAAATACTCCTCAGTTACGGCTCAACTCAGACATGACCCTTTTATAAAGTCTTTTCTGTTACCTGGAAATGATCTCTGTTATCACCCTCATACCCAGTGGGCATCTTTATAACTTCACAGATTTTCATGTTTTATAATGACCTGGGTTTTTTTTTTTTTTGCCTCTCTCTCTCTGGGCTTTAATTGAAAGCCTTCTTTCCATCTTAGTAAAGTTTCTGGAGAAAGAAGACACTCATTAAGTATACACTGATTGACTTGAATGAATATATGTTGGCAATGGATATTTTTGCCACATTTTGCAAATTTGTTAACACAATCTGTAATTTATACTTCAGAGAAATATCAATTGTAAACATGATTAGGGTAGTGCATTTTAATGAAAAGGACACCAGAAGGGTGTTATGACATTAGTTCAAATTTATGTTTTTACTATATGGGATGTATTAAAAATCACTTCATTTCTTAAGTGTATTAAAAATAACTTGATTTTTCCATGTTTACACTTGTAAAATATAAGACATTGATCCAGGCAACACTTAGAAGATGCATTTGGCCTCTGCATGTCTTTGACCTTCTGGACATTGATTATGACCTGACTTTGATTACTCTGTTTCTAATTTGTAATTGTTATGTGTTGACAGTTATAAACTTATAGGTAATTGATGTCTGCTCTTTTGAACTAATCATGAATATATTGTTAGGCTGATTTTTAACCTAAGCATAAAGCATGTGTATTATTTCTACTTATGAAGCTAACATAGTCAAATAGAAACTTCTAAGGTTTTTATTGCACTTATATGCAAATAGTTGTATCTGAATGAAATCACCTTAATGAAATGCTGTCTTTGAAACCTAATTATAACCTCTTTATTAACGAATGTAGTAGGGGAAAGAAGTCATATTAATGTCGTTGATAAGTTATGTTTATCCCCTTCTGTCATCATATTAACTGAGAATGAAATACATATAAATAGAAAAAGTTTAATAATAATGGTATCAGATGTTAATTGAGCTTACTGTTTGTTAGACAACTCATTTTATATGGAAGAAAGCTGAGACAAGAGAATTTAGCCATGGTCACAGATTAGGTGGCACTAGTTTGAAAAATTTAGGACCTTAGAGACATCATTTTCATTCCATAACTTTCCTTTCTCGTATGTGAAGAAGAATTAGCCACCTATTTAATTTCTATCTCCATCAACAAAATATCAGTAGGATATGTGTTGCTTATTGGTAAGGAATACTGGTGAGGAATAAGAGGCTAAGGTACAGGTGGAGATGTTTTTAAAAGTAATTACTAATGTATAGGAGAAGACACAAAATGGATAGTTTATCTGTTTAAGCTTTGTGGTGGCCATTGCTTTTTATGTAGCCTCTATAACTGAAAGTCTTTAAGAGACAAGGCTTTCCCTTTTACCAGTGATTCCAACAAGATAAATGCCTCAGCTGGGATGAATTGGGGCTTTTCACAAGTGACCCGTAGCTTTCTTGTAGAAATGCTTCTCAGTTTCTTTATGTAGCACAATTCCAGGGACAAGGTGAACCTAAATGATAACTATGGGCTGTCTTCCTATATGTCAGTTACATCCACAAATGGGATGTTAGGGGCTGGGGAAGGGTGTGTGATGGGATGGCAGGGGCTGGGGAAGGCTGTGTGTGTGTCCATGTGGTTTTTAAGGTTTTGATAGAACAAAAATTTTACCTGCAAATCAGCCTAGTGGCCTGTCGCAGTCTGTGTCATAGTATTATTTACAAATAGTCGTAGTTTTCATTCTCTCTATAGTGAATTTCCTGGTAACACAAAAATGTTTGAGTTTCAAAATGTTCATACAACTTACCAATTGCCTTTTTTTTTTTTTTTTTGAGACGGAATCTTGCTCTGTCGCCCAGGCAGGAGTGCAGTGGCACGATCTTGGCTCACTACAAGCTCCGCCTCCTGGGTTCACGCCATTCTCCTGCCTCAGCCTCCCAAGTAGCTGGGACTACAGGCACCTGGCACCATGCCCAGCTAATTTTTTGTATTTTTTAGTAGAGAAGAGGTTTCACCAATTGCCTTTTTAAAGTAGAAAAGTTGGCTGGGCGCGGTGGCTCATGCTGTAATCCTAGCACTTCGGGAGGCTGAGGTGGGCAGATCACTTGAGCTCCGGAACTTGAGACCAGCCTGGGCAACATGGCAAAACTCCATCTCTACCACAAATACAAAAATTAGCTGGGTGTGTGGCACATACCTGTGGCACATCCCAGGTACAGAGGAGGCTGAGGCAGAAGAATCGCTTGAGCCTTGGAGGCAGAGACTGTGATGGGCTAAGATCACTCCACTGCACTCCAGCCTGAGTGATAGAATGAGACCCCATCTAAGAAATTAAAAAAAAAAAAGTAGAAAATTGCTGGGCACAGTGGCTCATGCCTGTAATCCCAGCACTTTGGGAGGCTGAGGCAGGCAGATCACCTGAAATCGGGAGTTCAAGACCAGCCTGACCAACATGGAGAAACCCCATCTCTACTAAAAATACAAAATTAGCCAGGTGTGGTGGCGCATGCCTGTAATCCCAGCTACCTGGGAGGCTGAGGCAGGAGAATCGCTTGAACCCAGGAGGCGGAGGTTGCAGTGAGCCGAGATGGCGCCATTGCACTCCAGCCTGGGCAAGAAGAGCGAAACTCCGTCTCAGAAAAAAAAAAAAAAAAAGGGAAAATTAAAGCATTTGCTTAAAAGTCAGTGAAAATATGTAAAATAATATGGGGAATCCGGAATAGTTTGAAGTAATGAAGGCTATAACATGAATGCCACTTTCTTTGAGATTCCTGATAATATACTTGTTAGTAAAGATGATGGCATAATAGTCACCATAAAGAAAAGTGATTTTTTTTATCATCAAATCACCAAATAAAACCTTTGTCGTAAGGAGCAGCCATCTAAAGAGTATATTTAAAAGGAGAGATATAGATACTTGTGTGTAGATATTAATATATAGGTTCTCACCATGGTGATTATGCCTAAGAGTCAAAACTTTATTTTCTTGTAGGGCAACTGGGCAAAAATTACAAGTTTTGCTGCTCTTGAAGCTTCCCCCATGATCTGATTCTTGAGCTGAAACTCATGTAACAAGAGAAGAATTTGGTAAAGCCTGATGCAGTAGCATCTTTGAGGTGGTCAGAAGAAGCCCTATATTGTCAAGGATAGATACTGTTGTTAACAGCACCATCCGCCGAGCATAGTGGCTCACGCCTGTAATCCCAGCACTCTGGGAGGCCGAGGCAGGTGGATCACTTGAGGTCAGGAGTTCGAGACCAGCCAGGCCAACATGGTGAAACCTCATCTCTACTAAAAATACAAAAATTAGCTGGGTGTGATGGCGGGCGCCTGATAATCCCAGCTACTCGGGAGGCTGAGGCATAAGAATTACTTGAACCTGGGAAGTGGAGGTTGTAGTGAGATCATGCCACTGCATTCCAGCCTGGGAGACAGAGCAAGACTCTATCTCAAAAAAACAAACAAACAGAAAACAGAAAACAAAAAAACACCACCATCATTCAGTGCCTTTTATGGTCAACGCCTGAAGAGCTGGTGCTGATTACAGATTGGGGTTCAGGGCAAGACCACGTGGGCACACCCAGTGAGGCCACAGCAAAGTGCCCTGGGGGGAATGGTGTTGGGACTAGGCTCAGGGAAGCTGGTGGCATGAGGAAGGACTCTGGCCTCTGACTCCAGCGTGTTTGTTCGACTACCAAGCAGCAATGACTGTGGGGTGGTGTATTATAACAGCTGGCCCAGCCAGAATACAGGGGATTAAGTGTGGCAGTTCATAGCATTTATTATGAATTTGAAAGGCCTTCAGAAGTCTTCCAAACTGGAGCCTTATTGGAGATGTTCACATTGGGCAAAAGGAATTGTTCAGCTTTCTGTTGTCCTGGCTTCTGTGCTGGCAACATCGGGGTTTCCTGAGTATGGGTAGTAACACTTGTCATAAGGTAGAGGTGGTGCCTTTCTGTACAATATTGCTTGGATATAAAAGATACACATCTAATTGTTTAAATGTATTATCTTTTATCTGCTTTATTTCATCAAATGGGGCAGGTGCTCAGTTTCCTTTGTCTGATATCCTGTGAAGGTAGCATCAGGAGAATGACTCATGCCCTGTGCTGCCTTGCCCTCTGCTGGGCTGGCTTGAGTCCTCAGGTTCCCTCACAGATGCAATTCCTGATAATAATCACTTGCATTCTCCTGTTCTAAGCTACAGCTTCCTTTTCTCTTTTTTTTTTTTTTTTTTGAGATGGAGTCTCGCTCTGTCACCTGGTTGGAGTGCAGTGGTGCAATCTCGGCTCACAGCAACCTCTGCTTCCCGGGTTCAGGCGATTCTCCTGCCTCAGCCTCCTGAGTAGCTGGGACTACAGGTGCACGCCACTGCATCTGGCTAATTTCTGTATTTTTAGTAGAGAAGGGGTTTCACTGTGTTGGTTAGGATGATCTCGATCTCCTGATTTCGTGATCCCCCCGCCTCGGCCTCCCAAAGTGCTGGGATTACAGGTGTGAACCACTGCGCCCGGCATTAGCTACAGTTTCAACATGATGCACTAGAGGGGAAAAAAAAAGAAGGCGTCTGCCAAACTGACACACACACACACACACACACACACACACACACACACACACACACACACACACACACACACCAGCTGAGTAGTTACTGCTTGGTTTCTTCTGCCCGCCTTCAGTTGCCTCTGATCAAAGCTGTTCTCAACTTGGGTTTCCAAAACATTTCGCAGAGAGCTTACAATGGTAAATAACTTCTTGTGCAACAGGTTTGAGATTTTTTCCGAGTTATAATATGTCTTACTTACCTGTTTCTGCATGACAAATAGTGACAAACTTAGGGGCTTCACACAGTACGGATGTATTGCCTGTTTCTGCAGCAGGAGATCAGGCCCAGCTAGCTGCCTCCCTGCTTTCAGGGTCTGCTCTAAGCTGCCATTTCCTTCTCACTCAATCAAGTTATGTTCTCCAATGTTTTCTCACTTTTTTTTTTTTTTTTTTGAGATGGAGTTTCGCTCTTGTTGCCCAGGCTGGAGCCATTTCGGCACACCGCAACCTCCACCTCCCAGGTTCAAGCGATTCTCCTGCCTCGCCTTCCCAAGTAACTGGGATTACAGGCATACACCACCACACCCAGCTAGTTTTTGTATTTTTAGTAGAGACTGGGTTTTATCATGTTGGCCAGGCTGGCCTCAAGCTTCTGACCTCAGGTGATCCACCTGCCTCGGCCTCCCAAAGTGCTGGGATTACAGCCGTGAGCCACCGGCCTTGAATTCATTCTTTAGAAACTTTAATTATGAAATGTCAATGGAATAATATTTATAGATGAAACTTAAATTTTTTTTTTGTATTTTTTTCACACAGTGTAACGCTGACATCATTTATTGAAACATGACATATCTTGAGTGTATTTAAAAACCAAGAGGGTGAGTTATCTCAGCAACAGTGTTTTTGTTAAATGTAGTTGATACCTATTACTGATGAAAAGCAATAGAAAAGAAAGCTTCTATTTGGGTAATGTTTTAAGTTTTTCTTTACCCAATGGATTAGTGTAATTTGCTCTCTCATTTTCATTAATTTTATTGATGACTGAAATTGCTCATTACTCAAAAAGCTGGAATTTTTTTAACTTTTAAATTTGGCATCCTAGTAAAATCTTGGTTCAAAGAATATTTTACTGGTTGGGTTAGAAATGAATCCATTTTGTTTAATATACTTTGAAATACTATTATCATGATTGTTAACATCTATTATATTACTCTAGACATGATTTTAAATTCCTCCTTCTATATATTCCTCTTTGTATAAATGCCTCCATATATAATATATATAGCCATTATTGACTTTTGCCAGTCATTTACCATGTGTTTGCGTTGGGGTATCACATACTGACCTGTGCACCAACCTATGGGCCCTTCCTACTTGGTTTTTTGTTGCATGTGGCTGAAAAGTCTGTTAGAAGCATAGTCCATTGCGTATAAAAGGAACTGAATAAGTGACTTTTGAGTTAGATATATAATAGGTGTAGCACAGAATTCCTCCTTTCTATAAAGCCCCCCAAATAAGTATATTTCATCATTTTTCTTGATAGTTGATACACTCTGCTTTTGGAATTTTTCCCACAATCACAAACCCCATTGTTAAATTCTCAGTCTCATTTTAGAACATTTCTGTGGTGACCTGGCCTTGGCTGGGTCTTTCGCCTTCTCTGGAGGCCGTCCCAATGTACGCCTGGCTCCGGCAAGGCCATGAGATGCTTCCTCCTCAACACCAGCCAAGCTGCCATTCCCATGGCTCTAGTAAAAGCCCCTGATCTTCATGCCATTGCGCTGCGCTGTGCTCCCCCCACCCCGTGTTGCCACTGTCATCTGTTAACCTCCTGCCCCCCGCCACCTCACTGAGGATGTTTATCTGTCCTGTCTGCCACCCCCAGTTCTCCAAATTCTGTCCGTTTTCTTTTCTTTTTTATTTATTTATTTAGAGATGGAGTTTTGCTCTTGCTGCCCAGGCTGGAATGCAATGGGGCGATCTCGGCTCACTGCAAACTCTGCCTCCCGAGTTCAAGTGATTCTCCTGCCTCAGCCTCCCAAGTAGCTGGGATTACAGGCATTACCACCACGCCCGGCTAATTTTGTATTTTTAGTAGAAATGGGGTTTCTCGATGTTGGTCAGGCTGGTCATGAACTCCCGACCTCAGGTGATCCGCCCGCCTCAGCCTCCCAAAGTGCTGGGATTACAGGCGTGAGCCACTGCGCCTGGCCATTCTGTCCGTTTTCTTGGCAACTCATTATTTACATGAATGGTCCCCTCAGTATCCTGTATCTTCATTCATTGATCTGCTCATCTTCAGTGACATTTTCTTCTACTCTATTCTCATCGAACACTCTCAGTGTAACAGAGTCGAACTAGATGTTACTTCACCTCCAAAATAACAAAATGAAGCATTCGCGTCTCCAGCGACAGCTGCGGTGCTTGCAGAGCCCTTGCTGTGTTAACCTCCACGGGAGTCCCTCGCCGCTTTCTCTCCTTCCCCAGCCCTCCTGCCATGACTCCTGTCTTTATCCACCTGAGATTCCAAAGTTCATCATTTCACTCATGTTCTTTCAGCTGCCTTTTCCCCACTCACTTTTACCCTTTTTTTTTTTTTTTTTTTTTTTTTTTTTTTTTTTTTTTTTTTTTTTGAGATGGATTCTTGCTCTGTTGCCCATACTGGAGTACAGTGATGCAATCTCGTCTCACTGCAACCTCCGCCTCCAAGTTCAAGAGATTCTCCTGCCTCAGCCTTCTGAGTAGCTGAGATTACAGGTGCCCACCACCACGCCCAGTTACCCACACGCTTTTTATTGCACTTCCTGAGCAAATGCATAGCTTTAAATGACTGTGGTGGTCTGTGTTTTAGTTTCTTTCCCTTGAAGCTTTAGGGTGTTTTTTTTTTTTTTTGGTAGTAAACATTTGGGTAAACCGAGGACACTGTAAGTTCACATCAGCAGATGGCTCTTCCCTCCTTGTCAGTACCCGGTTTCCTGAGGTATGAGCTCCCACTCTCTACAGCACCCCCCCTATATCTATCCCTTGCTTCTAATAAGACCTCCCACTCCTCCCACCCTCCCCTGCCTCTTTCTTTCCGGCTGCTCACTTTGCCTTATATGTTACTGCAATTTAAGAAGGTGACACCAAGAGCACTCACTTTCTTGTCTTCCATTTCTTGAGAAAAAGCGTCCTTTCTCCTCTTAGATGCAAAGGCCTCCACTTGTGCTGGACACCCACCTCTGCCTCATCAAAGAGGTTGTTCCTTTGGCTGGTCCCCTCTCTCCTTTATTGTCTTCTCTCATTTCCCCAATGCACATTGTGTTGTAAGAGCGTCTGCCTCTTAAAGAACTTACCTGGACCCCACTCACTTCACTTCTTGCCCCATTTTCCCTTCCCATTTAATCTTTCCTCCCCTGAGACAGCATCACCAACAGCTTTGGGCAATGCCAAGCCCAGTTAGATGCTCCTCTCGTTTGTTCTTACGCAGCCTCTCTCCAGCACTGGGCACTGTGGACCACCCCCTCTGGTTGAAACTCTGCTTTCGTGGCTTCTGAGACCTGGTTTTTCTCCTACATCTACGATTCTTTCTGCTTAGCGTTTTGAGCCTTTTCTGGCTTGAACCTGAACAACTTCTGAAGGTTGAAGGTCCTCAGAGCTTGGCCCCACGTCCTCTCTATCTTCTCCTTGAGTTATATTCCCATGGCTTTAGAAACCATCTATATGCTAATGACTCCCAAATTTATATCTCCAGCTCAGCTCTCCTCTCAGCACTCCCGTCTCATTTATCCAAATTACTTACCTGACAACTCCACGCGGATGTTTCTCAAACATCTGAAATGTAATATGTTCAAAACTAAACTCTTGCTTTTTTTCATGGAAACTTATTTCTCCATGAATCTTCTCCATCTCAGTGAATGACAACTCATTCCACATAATTGCCGAAGTAAAAAGACTTGATGGATTTTGATTCTGCACCTCCCACACTCCCACATCCAATCCATCCACAGAAATGGTTGATATACCTCCAGAGTACATCTTCCATTGCCACCGCGATAACCTGCCGGCACCTTGCTTTGTCTCTCGCCACCCGCTCATACAGTGTTCAAGGTACTCTTATTAAAACGTAGATCGGTCCCTTCACTTTCCTGCTAAAACCCCGTTTTTTCCCCCTACATTGCACTTAGCACTTTAAGTCACTCTCCTGGCCAGTATAGCCATGACTGGCCTGGTCTCTGTCTTTGCTGTCCGACTCACACCTATGGCCACCAACGCCTAGTCACCTGATTTTCCATTTGTGCAACAAGCCGGATTTGTGTACTTTGTTCACAGTGTTCCCTTTGTTTGGAATGTGTTTTCCTTCTCTCTTCTCATGGCTGTGTTCTTTTTATTCAAGTTTCTATCTAAATCTCATCTCTGATTTATTTCTCTAACCATTTTTTCTAGGTAGGATACCTAGTTATTCTTGACCACAGTATCAGTTTTATTTCCTCCCTAGCATTTTGTATTTTATAGTGAACACTTTGTATATTTGCTTCTGTATTACCTGTGTCTTCCACTAGACTCCAAGTCTCATCATCACACACTGACTGCTGAGCACATAGTAGGGATTAATAATTGTTAATGAATGAATAACTTGATCTGTCAATCTCCAAAACAAATGAAATATTCAAGGATTGTGGAGGACAAGAGAAGAAATGGTCTGTTTCTTCAAGTAGCTCACAAATACATGTTACAACGATGAGGCCGGAGCTTCTGTATGAACTTACTCTGCCCTCAACAGAAACCAAACCATCTTCTGGGTGGTTCTTACACAGGTTTCTTTGCTTTATAAAAACTCAACCATGTACTTAGGAGTTGTGTATGTTTTTATATATGGTTGCACCTCAATAAAACGGCATATCCAAAAGAAAAAGGAAAAGGGAAAAATGCTAAGAAGTACTTGCCTAATTTTCTGCAACAAGACTTTATTTTTATAATCAGGAAGACTGACAACAATTCTCTAAGAACAAAAGAAATCTCTGAATAACTGTATATTTAGAGAAAAGGAGTTATTCTCATTATTTGTTTATGATATTCTTTTGTAGCTCTTATATTGTAAGTTTATAACACTTTAACGAACCTCCTTAAATTCCATTTAACTTGTTATGGACTGGAAATTGGGTATAGTTTTCAGACGTTGGTCTGGTGGGTGAGATTTATACCTGGTGGAATTAGTACATAGTTTTGGGATTTGTATGCCCAAGTACGTGTTCTCTATCAAATTTGCTACTTGGGCTGTTTCACTGGCAGACCTGTTAATAGAATCTCGTTTGTATGTGTGTCTCACAGACTACTTTGAAGTGAGGAATATTCACGAAGGCCTATTACAAGCATCAGATCACTAGATCACTAAGAGAGATGATAAGAAGGGTCTTGAAATTACATACAGAAGAAAATTTGCTGTTATGCTTAGTCATACATACATTCTCTGTTTCAATCCTAGAGATCTGTCAGGTGGGTATGCGTAGGATATGAGCAGCCACCAGCCAGCCAGATGCCTCCTAGCAATAGTCTTCTCACCAGGACCTGAAGTCAATGTCATTACCTCACACGCCACTCCAGTGGGCTGCGTGACATGGCACCGTCGCAGCATGACACACAGGGAAGTGTTTCTAGTTTCCAGAACATTTCTGAAACCCACATCTTCCTTCTACATCTTTGTAAGAACTTAAATATGGTGTGATGTTATTGCACATCCACCAGAGACTTGACGCTTTCTGTTTAAAACCTAACATATGCTTAGATATTAATAAAATAGACTCTAGAACCAACTCCTCTGAAATGGGCCTGTAACAGATGCTGTACTGCTCAGAAACTTTACCAAGTAGCTGTAGAGCCCAGCCTCGCCTGGTGACTTACATACCCCTAGGAGAGTCTTTAACCAAAGACTGACAAGGATGGGGGTGTTTACTTCAGCTCCTCCTTCTCCCAACTCTCATCATCTGCCCATCCCCCAAACGGGACAACTCTGAGAAGTGTCTCTAGAGTTCTCTTGTAGCAATGAGCCAAAATAACCCTTCATAAGAATTTACCTAATGACACACCCTTGTTGGGCTTCCTTCCTTTCCCTGTCTAGCCCCCAGACGCTCTATTTCTTTCTCCCTTGGGACAGCCCTTCCTAATAATTCACTTCCACTTAGTGTCTGCTTCTAGGAAATCCTACCTAAGACAGGCTTCGTTCCACCTAAAGGCCGAAGCTACTGTGATATTTTACAATCCTTGACTTTTAGCTACATACTCATTATTATTATCATTCTTACTTTATCCTTTACACTACCTTGATCACTGGAGTAACCTTAACCTATCTGCACATAGATCTTTATTTTCTATTGTGAAGGTGATATTATTAGGAACCACCAACTGAAATTTTACCACCTCTATAAAACACCAGACAAACGGTGAGACATATTTAGCTTCATCATCCACTGTGTGGCTTTTTCTTTTTGTTTTACATTAATCCCTATTAAAGAGATTATTGGCTGGGTGCGGTGGCTCACGCCTGCAATCCCAGCACTTTGGGAGGCCGAGGCAGATGATCACCTGAGGGCAGGAGTTGGAGACAGCCTGGCCAACGTGGTGAAACCTCGTCTCTACTAAAAGTACAAAAATTAGCCAGGCATGGTGTCATATGCCTGTAGTCCCAGCTACTTGGGAGGCTGAGGCAGGAGAATCACTTGAACTCAGGAGGCAGCGGTTGCAGTGAGTCGAGATTGCACCACTGCACTTCAGCCTGGGCCACAGAGCAAGACTCGGTCAAAAAAAAAAAAAAAAAAAGATTATCGCATTCTATTACTATTAGTTTTGTCTTTCTACCTCCCCTGCTAGGCTGTTATCTACTCAATGGTAGGGCTCTGATTTTATCCGTCTTTGCAAACGTGTGTAGAAACTAATCGCTAATAATAAAAGTTAAGTAAATAAATTCAAAATTCTAGAAGCACATCAGTTTGTCCAGAGATAACATGTCGAGGGTGCTGTTGACATAATTTTTATAATGTCTGAGAAATGATAACCAATAGCAGAACTACCAAGCATTTTTCTGTTTCTCAAAACAAACTTCATAGAAACCTGTGTTTTGGTCAGTTTGGGCTTCTGTAACAAATTACCATAGACGGCTTATAAACAGCAGAACTGTATTTCTCACACTGCTGGAGGCTGGAAGTCAGGCTGGAAGTCAGGTGTCCGCAAGTTCTGGGTTTGAAGGAGGGCCGTCTTCTGGGTTGAAGATGGCCGTCTTCTGGGGGTGTCCTCACACTGAGGAAGGAGGCAGAGCTAGCTTCTGGGATCTCTAATCCCACTCATGAGGGTTCTACCCTTGTGCCCTAATAACCCTCCGAATGCCCTACCTCCTAATACCATCATCTTGGGGGGGCAGGATTTCAACATATAAATGTGAGGGGAAGATTGAGTCCATAACAGCCTCAGATGGAACGATATGATGGGAAATCCCTTTACCTCAAAGGACCAAGAATTCCCACCTCCTGTGGAGGATACCCTTTACCTTCCTTAGTCAGCAGGAAGATAAGGGGAGTGAGCGGACCAGTGAAAAAAGCACCCGAGAGTTATTTACCCAATGCCATTTCTAAAATGTCAAGTTATTTAACTTGAGATGATTGCCACAGGAAATAATCCATGAAATAGCTCTTGGTCTTTTTGAAATTTTGTGTCATTATTAGACTCGTTCATCAAGAAATTTGCACCTGAGCTCATTGCAGCTCAAGCTCAAATGGCTTTCAAATGAAAATGTCTTTTAGCTTAAATAGGAAGGATAGCCATCCTTCCAAAGGAAATGGACAATTGTATTAATGTCTCTTTGGTTTGTATTACAATCCATCTAACTAGTATTTACAAACGAAATGAAGCATTATTTGAATGTCAGTTGTTTCTAGAGAGATAAATGGGATTATGTGCTTAATTAGGAGAATTCCTGTTCCTGGGTCCAGATTTAAGACTGATCTTTGCGTTTGATGTTGAGGCATGATTTTCTCTCAGGAAATATAGGCAGAAACCTAAGTATGCATTCACATTTTTCTGAATGTTTAAAAAACTATCAGAGAGAGGACCAGGCACGGTGGCTCACGCCTGTAATTTCAGCGCTTTGGGAGGCTGAGGCAGGCGGATCATGAGGTCAAGAGATTGAGATCATCCTGGCCAACATGGTGAAACCCATCTCTACTAAAAATACAAAAATTAGCTGGGCGTAGTGGCGTGCACCTGTAGTCCTAGCTACTCAGGAGGCTGAGGCAGGAGAATCACTTGAACCTGGGAGGTGGAGGTTGCAGTGAGCCAAAATTGCGCCACTGCACACGAGCCTGGTGACAGAGCGAGACTCCGTCTCAACAAAAACAAAAACAAAAACAAAAAACTCAGAGAGGAAGTAGGGGCCACCTTCCAGTGTCAGGAGGGAGGTTAATGGTGTCTCGATCCCTGCTGACTTTGTGTCCTTGGCACAGCCTAATGAGGAATAGTGGGAGACCAGTGGATGTGAGGTTCAAGGCAACTTCTTATCGGATCTTGGCCCTGTTAATAACTGTTGGCCAGGCACGGTGGCTCATGCCTATAATCCCAGCAGTTTGGGAGGCTAAAGTGGATGTATCTCCTGAGGTCAGGAGTTCAAGACCACCCTGGCCAACATGTTGAAACCCCCGTCTCTACTAAAAATACAAAAATTAGCCCATTGTGGTGGTGTGTGCCTGTAATCCCAGCTACTTGGGAGGCTGAGGCAGGAGAATCGCCTGAACCCAGGAGGCAGAGGTTGCAGTGAGCTGAGATTGTGCCATTGCACTCCAGCCTGGGCAACAAGAGTGAAACTCCTTCTCAAAAAATAATATAATAATAATAACTAACTGTGACATTGGGAGCGCTGCTTAATTTATCTGGGCTTCATTTATCTCCTCTATTAAGTGGGAGAAAGAATTGCTGCCTACTTCAATCGACGGGTTTTTGTAAATATCCAATTAGGTAAAAGTTCTGAAAGTCCTTTGAAATAAATAATACAAAGAACTATATGGATGTAAAATATTGTTATTTTCAACTTTGATAAAATTTGGCTGTAACATGAGAAACAAGACTTAGTAAATCTTGCCATGCCCTCAGTAAATGCTGCTAGTGTAACTAATTTCGTATGTGACATATAGATGATAAACGAAGAGAGGATTTATTATGGTTTTGTTGTAGTTTGTTTTGTTCTTCTGGTTTATTCTAGTTCTTGGAAGTAGATGGGGAAAAATTCTGTAATGATGTGTACCAGAAACATAATAGGCAAGACTCATTAAACCAGAAAGTTCCTGACTGGATCTGGCGTCTGGGAAATTCAGCATATGCTACCAGTTGAATGTTGTGATTGGCATATGTTTGGCATTTGTCATATGGAGACACCCGAAGCTCTAAGCAATAGTAGAATAGCAAGCCCCTTGGTGGAAACAAATGAAAAATGTTTCATTATTAACCCAAGGAAATAAACCTCTGATAAAACCTATGAATAATGCAAATAAAGGTATGTGAGAAAAAAAGTCAGAATCAAGGGAAAAGTGCTGTTTTCCTGATCAGTGCCTTGGTTGTTTGGTGGTGGTTGTTTCAGTCTGACACACTGACTGTCTTTCAATTAGGCGTGTATTTTGCTTCTGTTAGGTGAAAGGAGACATCAAGTTAATGTAAGAAATAGTGTGTGTTGGGCCAGGCGCGGTGGCTCACGCCTGTAATCCCAGTATTTTGGGAGGCCGAGGAGGGTGGATCACCTGAGGTCAGGAGTTCGAGACCATCCTGGCCAGCATGGTGAAACCCCATCTCAACTAAAAATACAAAAATTAGCCGGGCGTGGTGGCACACTCCTGTAATCCCAGCTACTTGGGAAGATGAGGCAGGAGAATAGCTTGAACCCAAGAGGGGGAGGTTGCAGTGAGCCGAGATCGCACCAGGGTGTCAAGAGTGAAACTCAGTCTTAAAAAAAAAAAAGAGTTTGTTTCAAATGGCTAAATTTTCCTTGGTCAAATAACAAGGTCAAAACTGCACACCGACCTGGTGCTGTAGCTCATGCCTGTAATCCCAGCACTTTGGGAGACCGAGGCAGGCGGATCACTTGAGGTCAAGAGTTCGAGACCAGCCTGGCCAACATGGTAAAACCCTGTTTCTACTAAAAATACAAATTTAGCTGGGCCTGGTGGCGCACGCCTATAATGCCAGGTACTTGGGAGACTGGGGCAGGAGCATCGCTTGAACCCAGGAAACAGAGGTTGCAGTGAGCTGAGATCACGCCACTGCACTCCAGCCTGAGCAACAGAGTGAGACTCTGTCTCAAAAAAAAAAAAAAAAAAAAACTGCATACACTTTTACATGGTAATTGCTTTTGGCTCAAATTTAACTTTTATAACTTAAGAAATTAAGATAACTGAATAACCATTGCTTCTTGTGTGCCATAGAAGATATACTGATAGAATGAACAGTGTAGACTCTTAAATTCTATTGATACTTCTTACCTCTAGGAACAACCCTGAACTAAGTCACCTGTTACATATCCTAAATTCTTCAGTCTTGAAGCACCATATTCATTTGCTAATTGCCCACATCTTTTGTTCCCCCAATTACCAATTCGGAGGAGAAAATTTTTAGACTTATTTTCTCTATTAATTTTTCCTTTGTTAGATTATAATTATCAAACATGTTTAAAAGTTGAAGAGAACAAAGTGATATAATCTGTGATTAATTCAAACTTAATTATTTTAGTGTCATCTGACATTAATTTCCTCGGAGTAATAAATGTTATATAATTTTTTAAAAATACTATTAGAATACCATTAACATAATTATAACTTGAAATGTTTTCCTCATATATAAGGAAGGTTAATATGACCGCTGTATCAAGCATGCTTAAAATTTAAATAACCAAATGCCTGATGGGAATTGGGCAAATTATATGTAGCCATGGCTGCTCTGGCAAGCAACTTACTTGCACCACCT
Organism: Homo sapiens; assembly: GCF_000001405.40. Classification (NCBI taxonomy): domain Eukaryota; kingdom Metazoa; phylum Chordata; class Mammalia; order Primates; family Hominidae; genus Homo; species Homo sapiens. Next base: position 162,545,460 of record NC_000006.12, on the reverse strand, counting down.
AAAATCCTGGTATGTTTTATTTGCCTTTTCCGGGAAGTGGAGCAAATTTCTGTGTAATTCTGGCAGTTCACAGAAATCAAGACTGGTATCTCTTCTTGACAACTTAAGCCTGATACTGGATGGAATACCAGGACAATTCAGATATTTTTTAAATTTTTTTATTTTTATTTTCTCAGACGGAGTCTCACTCTGTTGCCCAGGCTGGAGTGCAGTGGCGTGATCTTGGCTCACTGCAACCTCCGCCTCCTGGGTTCAAGTGATTTTCCTGCCTCAGCCTCCCAAGTAGCTGGGATTACAGGCTCCTGCCTCTACACCCAGCTCATTTTTTTTGTATTTTTAGTAGAGACAGGGTTTCACCATGTTGGCCAAGCTGGTCTCCAACTCCTGACCTCACGATTCGTCCACCTCAGCCTCCCAAAGTGCTGGGATTACAGGTGTGAGCCACCATGCCCAGCTGACAATTCAGATTTTAAAATGAACTTGAGGCCGGGCGCGGTGGCTCACACCTGTAATCCCAGCGCTTTGGGAGGCTGAGGTGGGTGGATCACCTGAGGTCAGGAGTTGGAGACCAGCCTGGCCAACCTGGTGAAACCCTGTCTATACTAAAAATACAAAAATATCCAGGCGTGGTGGCACATGCCTGTAATCCCAGCTACTCAGGAGGCCGAGGCAGGAGAATGGCTTCAACCCGGGAGGCGGAGGTTGCCGTGAGTCGACATCGCGCCACTGCTCTCCAGCTTGGGTGACAGAGCGAGACTCTGTCTCAAAAAAAAAAAAAAAAAAAAAAATCAACAATAAAGTAAATAAAAAATAAAATAAATGTGAGATCGCATAGGAGAGAACATTCTGTGCATACATTTAAAGTGAGAAGATAAAAATGCAAGATCACTGATTATCTGGCAAAGTAAATAAATGACACTGAGATGGATGAAATTTTAATACCTACAACTGCTTCTGTGGTCACTAAAAGTCTGCAACGTCAAATAAAGCTTTTCTAGTCTCCTGTGCTGTATAATTAACTTTCATTGTCACTTAAATAACATAAACATCCCTTTTTCCTGGCTGCCCCCTCACATGACTTAGAATCTCTATTTAATTCTGTGCTATGAGCATTCCTCTGTTGCTGTGTAACATGATTTTGCAGCCAGGTTTGCTCGTGTGGGAGTGCTAAAGACTATTAGACTCAGTGCAGTGATGTTACCTGGCATCTCTGTGTGTCCTCAGGGTTGTGTTATTTTATGAGCATCTTATATGCTTATGTATCCATTATGTACTGCCTGTTTTATATGCATCTATGTATTTATCCATGCAACAAAAGTTTTCCTTGGTTAGTTTCTTCTCAACATTTTTGTCCATGATCCTCATAAAGTCATACCACATTCACAGAAGGTACAAATCCGAAAAGGAGAGCTAGTAGAGTACAAGAGATAACAGAAGCAAAAATGAAATGATTGCAATAAGCTGCAAGAAGAATTTTGATTTTGCTAAACCAAAATTGGACTTACCTGGGATGAAAGTAAAGGTTTCATAGTCAGAAACCTTTCAGAGGGTCCAGGGCCTAGGACGGCTCTCTTCTCATTGGCCCCTTTGCTGGGCCTGCACCTTGCCATGTTTTTTTGTTTGTTTAGCTTTCCAAAACATGACTGTATGCAATAACAGGATTGAGGCTATCTATTGGCCTGGGCAGGAGTTAAGATGATGAAAGCTCTAGGACTCAGGGTTGACCACAAGCTCAGGGTCAGCCAGCGGTATGAAGTACAGGTATAATAATGGTCTTAGGCTGAGTTACTTAAAGTGTGACAGGGTCTGAGTAATTACAAGTATTACAGAACTCTCTCCTCCTCTACTTAATAAGGAGAGCTGGTTTGGGGGAAGGTCCTTTTGTTTTGCCGAGCTGACTGGCTGACTGGGGAGGCGAGGAACTTAGAACACACTTATACAAATTTAGAACAAAGGCTACCTGGGTTTAGGATTGGGCTGGGAAGAGGAGATTCCTGAAGAGATGAAACAGAGGCTGAGGGAGGGCCTCGGAGGGAAAAAAGGGAGGAGGAAAGATGTGAGCAGCTGCTGTGAGGGGTGGAACTGGGAGGAGAAGTGGGCGGGAATTTTTTGCCGATGTGACTGCTCTGGGCCAAGGCGCTAAGATTAGCCAAGAAGCCTGGGATTATCAAGGTGAGTTTTCTAGATTAGCCTATGTAATAGTCCAATCATATTCTTGGCTTAATATGTCAATCTCAATTTTTGGCCCTGGTCCTGGCATTAAAGGACACAGAAAAACTAGAGTTTTCCCAGCAGAGGAAAATTAGGATACTGTGTTGTTCGGAAATTGTGATCAGAGGGACTTCTGACTGAAGTGGACATGTTTAATTTAGAGAAAGAAAGACCAGGGGACACCAACTGACTGTCTTCAGTTATTAGTGGCACTGTCACTAGGAAAGAGCAGTCAGTTTGCTCAGTGTTGCCTCAGAGAAGCAGTCCTGGGGGGAGTCGACCATTGGGTCAGTAGGAGGAAGAACCCTCAGAGGGGCTGGAGGTGTCCATCAGTGGTTAGGGCACTCGGCGGAGCAGTGAGCCCCCCGCTACAGAAGCCCAAGCCCAACCGAGATGACCCTCTACCCTCTGTTGGGGGTTTGCGCGAGTGCTGTGCTCTGTGCCCCGGGTGGAGGTGGAGGTGGAGGTGATGGTCAGTGTTTGCTTCCAAGTCAGTAGGGAAGGAATTAGTATCTATGCTATGTGCTATATGCCCCATGCATTGCACTTATTTTCTCACTTAAATTTCTGAGAGACATAATGTTCTCTATGAATGAAGGTTTGGGGGCTCAGGCCTATTAAGTCATTTGCTATTCAGTGGTCAAATGATTTGAGCCTCAGATCTGTTTTGCTCCAAAACTAGTGTTCCTCATGCATCACGCTGTCTCTGATAATTAACCAGCATCTCAATATTAAGCTCTCTTGTGGAAATGCCGTATGTAAAACATTTATGGCAAGTATGTTTCTTATAGATTTAAGGAGCAGTATATTTTAGTGGTTAAGACATGGGTGTTGGATTAATCAGACATAGGTTAGAGTCTCAATTCTGCCTGTTAATAGCCCTGTGACTCTTGGGCAAGTAACATCTCTGGGCTTTGGTTAACCCATACAGTAGTTACCTCACAGGGCTATTTTAGGATTAAATAAAATAATGTAGAGAGAATGCACCTGATGTCAGTTGTTTTCATTGCTGCAATATTTAATACCTATCTAGACATCAAAGGAAAAGAGATGAAATACTAAGTAATATCCCTAAAAGAAGCACTTGAACTGAAAATATTTAGGATCATTGGACTACTTCTTTGCACCTGTAATCCCTGTCATCTGAATTCTCTTACCTTCCGCAACCTGGGAACTTGGGTATCTGTAATATCACTTCTGCAGTCAATATTTGACTTGACCTTCACCTTAACAAACTCACCAAACACAACAGCCTTGCGTTTTAGTCAACCCAAGGGCACAGGAATCATTAGTCAAATCAATGACCAGGATAGTCATAGGACGCCCATACTCATAGAATTCAACCATTTGTCAGTTACAAGCCAATCACTGAATGTCAGCAAAGCTCAGAAGATATTGGGGCCAGACTCTCTTGCTAGACAAAAACTAAGTGGCTTCGTTTTTAACTCTTATACTTAGGGTATTCCTTCTTATCATCTCTCTCCTAGTTGTTTAACGCTAAACGGCTGCAAAATGATGGCTGCTTGTTGTAGAGGGCAGCTGACCAAAAATAAGGAAATAGAGGAGGGATGCCAAACTATCAGGGATTCAGAAATGTGTTTCTGAGAATGCTCTTTGGGCCACTCTCAGCTGAACTACCTGCAAACTAAGAAATCTTAATCCCTGGGCCTCAAACCTACTGAATCAGAAGTCCAGATTGAGAGGCCTGGGGATTTTCATTTTAACAGTCACCTTGGGTGATTGGCTTATGTTTCTTCTGCAAGAACTCCCCAGGGCCATCCATCCCAGCAGCAGTAGAGTCCAGAGCCTAGGATGGCCCTTTTCTCACTGGCCTCTTTGCTGGCCCCTGGCCCTGTGCCCCTGCCTTTGCCCTCCCTGTCTGGATGGCTCTCCCCAGTTATCTGCATGATGCATGCCTCAACTTTTAGGCCTTCCTGAAATGTCACCTTATCTTGAGGCCTTCCTGATCACCCTATATGAAATGATGCACCACGCACTCATCACCATCCTAACAGATTGTGTGGCTTACTCAGCCTCGTGTCTGTCTCCCCACATGAGGGCAAGGGTTTTGGCAGCTTTATACACCATTGTACTGCCTGAGCCCAGAACAACCTCTGGCACCTAGGAGGGACTCCGTGTTTGAAAACCCTAAGGAAGAATCAGGGAAGAGAGGCCTCCATCGTACAGGGAGTTGTGAAATTGATGTGAGGATTTCTGAATCCTCACCTCTTTCTATTCTAATCCTACATTGCCCTTTTAACTTGGATTGTAATTTAAAAGTATTAAGATGTCAAAAATGGTGAAAAGTTTAGACATGTAGACATCAATGACTTTAGAGATTGTTTTCTGTATAGTGAGAATGACACGTGACAGATACTTGGACAGATATGTCCAGAAATTCTAAGGTCTTTAGTATCATTTTTAATTTTTTTTTTTTTTTTTGAGCCAGAGTTTCACTCTTGTCACCCAGGCTGGAGTGCAATGGCGCAATCTCGGCTCACTGCAACCTCTGCCTCCTGGGTTCAAGTGATTCTCGTGCCTCAGCCTCCAGAGTAGCTGGGATTACAGGCACCCACCACCATGCCCAGCTAATTTTTATATTTTTAGTAGAGGCGGGGTTTAACCATGTTGGCCAGGCTGGTCTCGAACTCCTGACCTCAGGTGATCACCTGCCTCAGCCTCCCTGAGTGCTGGGCTTACGGACATGAGCCACCACGCCCAGCCAGTTAATATACTCTTATAATTTTAACTTGGGGAAACTGAGTTGACTTACATTGTTTCAACTTTTGGCACCTTTTTCAGGATTGTATTCTGCCTACCTATATTATTGGGGTTGTAATAAACATTAATGGGATCTTTGAATTTATTTAAATTCATGGCCGGGCATGGTGGCTTAGGAGGCTGAGGCAGGAGAATTGCTTGAACCCGTGAGGCAGAGATTGCAGCGAGCTGAGATCACACCATTGCACTTCAGCCTGTGTGACAGAGCAAGACTCTATCTCAAAAAATAAAAAATAAAAAATAAAATAAATTCAGCTGGGTGCAGTGGCTCACGCCTGTAATCCCAGCACTTTGGGAGGCCAAGGCGGGTGGATCACCTGAGGTCAGGAGTTCGAGAGCAGCTTGGCCAACCTGGTGAAACCCCGTCTGTACTAAAAATACAAAAATTAGCTGGGCATGGTGGTGGGCGCCTATAATCCCAGCTACTCGGGAGGTTGAGGTAGGAGAACCACTTGAACCTGGAGGTTGCAGTGAGCTGAGATCAGGCCATTGCACTCTAGCCTGGGCGACAGAGGGAGACTCCATCTCAAAACAAAACAAAATAAAATAAATTCGCAACAATTTTTTTTTGAGAAATAACTCTTTAGGTAGGTGGGAAATTATGACTGTGGTATTTCTGATATTTTGGGTTTAATTTACATCTTTTGCATGTGTCTTTATAATCTTTCACTGTTTAATTTGAGAGTTTACTAATCAGCATTAAATTTCGCATAGCTGCAAAATTCAGTGTCAGCAGCCCAGTATTTTCTCTACGTAGATGTGAATAGGGATTTTCTTCTGTTATTGGGGCACTATCAGGATCTAGTTCCTAAACAATTAAGCTGCGATTCAAGCAGCCTACATTTTTTTGTCTGATGTTTAATGCATTTCCATGAGACTCCTGGAATATGAGTGTAAAACAAAGGAATGTGTCCCTGGTATTCAGATAGTCGATGATGTAAATCCTCCAACTGATGCTGCTGATCTCTTAATATTTTTTCCTGTAGACAAAGAAGCTGTAGGTGCAATAGAGAGGAGAAAAAATGACAAGGACATTTGAAACTGAAATTAATCTTAGTATAGGAGAAATGGAAGGCAAATTGACATATCAGGGACATGAACAATTATGAAATATCATTGGTCAGGTTTCCAAATGCTAATTTACCCATGTGTCTAATTTTCTTGATGAGATGAAAATTATAGCATCCCAATTTTCCTTTGAGAAATGTTTTTCTCCAGAAATATACAAATGTTATTTTGCAATTGTATTCCTATACATTCATTCTCGTTAATTAAAAAAAAAATGTTTACATGGAGAAACACTCAATATAAATACATTTTACAGCTCTAGCCAAAGCCACAGTCTTAAGGTATTGTTCATTGTGTTAATATGTCCCCTGGTTTCTATTTTACTGATGCTCCTGTTTAGAATTAAGGCGATCCTTCTTCATGTGTCCTCACAGCCCTGCTGTAATTGACCTGGCAGGCCGCCACATTGTGGGCCCCCACGGTAATCACTTGGAGAGGACATCCTGCCTCTCTAATTTGACTGACAGGACAAGCCCTGTTTTAAAATTGCTGTCATGTGCTTTTTATCAGTAAATAACACCCATGCTACCAAGCATGTGTACACTGAAATAGACAGCTGTGTCTTTTTAATGTGCCTTTTCCCCAGCAGAGGAAAGTGGCTGAAAACAACCAGAGCTTCATCTGGCTGTAAAGGTCCTTTCTGCTGACGACAGTGCTTTTTGAAATCTTTTCTCACCTCTTTACAAGAGAGCCATGTGCATACTCTGTAGATCGGTTGATCTCAAGTTAAATAGGCTGACTTCCCACACGCGGTCGTTGCCTCAGAGATTCTGTCTGGATTTAATATTTTCAGCTATGAGAAAATACAAAAACATGGAATCAGTCTGGGCAGGACTGACTACTGGATGAATTTCTGCACCACATAGCACACCAAACTTTCTGCCACTTGTTTTTCATGAAGACATGTAATTTTAGTATGATGAATAATGATGGTTTTTTAAGTTGTGTTGCCTTTAGGTATTTAGATACTTCTTTTCTTTTTTTTAATTTTATTTATTTATTTAGAGACAGAGTTTGGCTCTGTCACCCAGGCTGCAGTGCAGTGACACAATCTCAGCTCAGTGCAACCTCCTCATCCCAGGTTCAAGCTATTCTCCTGCCTCAGTCTCCTTTGTAGCTTGGATTACAGGCCTGTGCCATCATGTCAGCTAATTTTTGTATTTTTGGTAGAGCAGGTTTTCACCATGTTGGCCAGGCTGGTCTGAAACTCCTGACCTCAAGTGATCCACCCGCCTTGGCCTCTCAAAGTGCTGGGATTACAGGCGTGAGCCACCGCACCCGCCGAGGTATTTGGGTATTTCCAACTTTGACTTTTGAAATTATATTTTGCTCTTACATGAATTTTTATGGAAGAGATATATTCAGTTGAGAAGATGACTATATTTATACCAGTATCAAAACAAAACAATAATGTCGTAGCTGTCCACTGGGTGTTTGGGGTAATGTAGTTTAAGAAGAGAATCCACAAATGTAGACTTAAGAGAGAAGGCAAGCCCTTGAATAAATCCCACAATGAACCTGATGACTTGTGTTTTCACCAACACAAGTCTTCCTATAAATATTAAAGCATCCCACATACACATAAGTGACAAGGGCCTTGGGAAGGGAACAGTTGACATGGAGATGGACACTGCTGGTGGAGAGAACAGGAGATGGGAAAGAGGAAACATCTACAGGAAGCTGATGTAGAAATAGGGACAGGACAAGATTGCAGGAGTCATCTATTTCACACATTCTGTCTGATTCTGTTTGCCTGCAATATAGGGTCCCAGAAAGGGGAACATGGAGACAGAAGTACAGAGACAGGGAGATCCCTGCCGGCAGATTGCCTTGGAGGAGGTGGCAGTGGGAAAGATGCGATCACACGTGCACTGTGGAGAGATCCCCCAGGCTGCAGGGAGGAAACTGTGGGCCTAAAGTGGGAAGACAGTTCAAGACCATTATGCCAGGTGACAGGGAACACGAGGAAGAAACAGGCATAAAATATAGGTGATGCGGAAACCCCTGGCAACTCACTGGGCCTGAGCAAAGAAGCGGGAACATGTGGTGATACTTGTTGGAAGCTTTAGGCTACGGAGTGAGGTGCTAGTGAGATGGCAGAGTATGCTCTGTAGGCATTTTGGGAAATATGGGATTGGATATAGGGTGGAAGGGAAAACAGAGAAATTTCCGTGTATTGATTAGCTACTGTGTGTCAGATATTTTGCTGTTTAATAGTTTTGAAAGCTCCCCAGGTGACTGTGATGTGCAGCCAGGGCTAGAAACTGCTGTCATCTCAGCCTTCTCTGTACCTAGTTCAGGCAACTGGAGTTTGAAGCCAGCCTTCTAAGCCTTCTCTGGGAGATTTATGAGAATCTTTTCGAAGTAAATTTTTAAAAGTTATAAAATATCTAATATAATTGTTAGAAAACTCTTTAAAAACATACAATTGGTCAACAACCATCTATTTCTTAAACTTTGGTGTACATATATATGTATGCATATATGTATAGACTTACATATGTTACATGTGATTTGGAGAAAGAAATCAATGCATCTTTGCATGCTGTGTTATACTTCAGCTTTTCCTACAGCATCTTTGAAGTGCTGTAATTGAACATAGGCTTCAAAAAAATGTGTTTATTCATATTTCTTGCAGTTCTTTAAAAGTAAACTCATGACACTCCACATATGAATGTCATGGACCAAGCTGAGCTTGAGCTTTTCTGCTCAGGTAGCAGAGACCTTCATCATTAAGGAAACTCACTGACAGCAAGGCCTAGCCATAAAGAAGTTTGCCGGTATCACAGCATCGATGGCAATGAGAGGAGTAGGTAGGTAGGTGAGATAGCACAGTGGAATCCCTACAGACAAGCAGGGAAGATGGCTCGAAGGAGATGCAGCAAGAAACTTCACTTTCTCTACTGAGTTCCATGTGTTGTCTTTATTTTTTTTAAAGCAGGTGACCTTAATACATAACTCAGAGCTAAAATGACACCAGGTACCCAAAGGAACTGGAAACATTGTGAGTAGAAGATTATATTGGTCTGTGCAGAATACTTCCTTAGTCACAATGAAAGCACATTCTTTTGTTCTGGACCCTTAGAATAGAAAATAACACCTTCTGCTTGTCATTTTTATGCATCCAGAAACACAGATTTTCAACATCTTATAGTGAAGGCATTGCTGAGTGAAGTATAGCACACATGTTTTACAGTAGTTCATTATAGTTTGTTAGTAAAGCAGCATGACTGGAAATAGGCTGAAACCATTTTAGTGCAGGAGAACCACGGCTCTTTGGTTTGGCCTTAAGTTGTAAGCAGAAAGCTTTGGGAACAGTCCTACCATCTTCATGGAACAGTCAGATGTTGTACTTGTCATTGATGTTTTTGCTATAGTTTGATGTGTAAATAAGGTACTTAATTGTTGTTGGAGAGAGAAGTTTAGGAGATGGTTTTCAGTACATCAGACCAGTGCTGACCAGGCTCAGACCAAATTCTTTTTTTTTTTTTTTGAGACAGGGTCTCATTCTGTCACCCAGGTTGGAGTGCAGTGGTGCGATCTTGGTTCATTGCAACCTCTGCCTCCCAGGCTCAAGCAATCCTCCTACTCAGTCTCCTGAGTAGCTGGGATTATAGGCATGTACCACCGTGCCCGGCTAATTTTTTCTATTTTTGGTAAAAAGGGAGTTTCTCCATGTTGCCAGGCTGGTCTCAAACTCCTGAGCTCAAGAGATCTGCCCACCTCGGCCTCCCAAAGTGCTGGGATTACAGGCATGAGGCAGTGAGCCTGGTCCTCATGCCATATTTTAACTTTGATTCTGGAATGCTAGAGAAATATTATTATTTATGAATATGGATGATTGAGTGGGATAAATACAAAACAGTCATTTGATTTATATATATATAGACACACACACACCATCTATTCATATATAGGAAATGGGTACTCTGAGAGACAGATGATCTTGCATGAGGTCATTATATATGTGTGTATTTTCAGGTATATATGTACATATATATGCATATATATGATGAAGAAAGACATTGGACAAAATATTAAGTATTATAATAGGAACCAGGGACTCTAAAAGTTATCTGAACTCAAACTGAGAACTGTCTAACAAGGCAGGACCAGGGCAGATGGGGAGACTGGAGTTTGCAGAAAGGTCCCAACCCATTAGGATTGGTAGTCCAGCCATCCCCTCTGAGCTGCAGAAAGACCGAGCAAGTGATAGCTTGGGGAACATGAACACAGCCAACTCCGACTGGCACTGCTGTGAAGGACTCTGGTGAGATATAGATCTTGGAGACCCTGGGCTTCCCTTTAGCCAGCACCTGTTAAGAGTTTTTTCTCATACCCCCAGGAAGAGGACTGGGGATGGAAGAGGACTGGGGATGGAAGAGGACTGGGGATGGAAGAGGACTGGGGAAGGAAGAGAACTGGGGAAGGAAGACTGGTCATTGAAGAAGTAGTGTTCTTAGGTAAGGATGCTTCTCCTCTGATGGGAAGGCAGGGGGTCAAGGCAGAGTTTAGAAATTGGGCCCTGCCTGGTAGCTGGCAGGAGTGCTCTCTGTCCTCATTTGGGAAGCGGAAAGTGCACAGGCAGGACCTTACAGATGCAGTCTGCATGGCTCTTCTCCACACAGCCTCTACTGGAGCTGCAGGCAGCTGGAGGGGCAGATCTGGTGGAAACATGTTTAGCAATTAGCCAGAAAGTGGCTCGGGAAAGGGGCAACTTGAGTGCAGTTGTCTGAGGCTGGAGATGGTGTACATTCTATAAATGTATGTGTAGACTAAATTTACTTTGGCTGATTTAATTACTCCCTGAAGTTTTAAAATATATTCAGTCAGTGTATATTGAATAACTACTCTGTGCAAAAAATAAAGCCATATAAACTTCAAGGAGTGTGCGGTCTAATGAAGAAAATGAAACTTGTAATCAAGTGATTACATTGCAAAGCACCGTGCCAAGTTGTAAAAGAACTACCGTAAAGAGGCACAGCATGCTTTCGATGTTCAAAGAAGGGAAAAAGAAAAGTAACTTCTCAGTGGAATCATGAAAGGGTCATGGCAGATGGAGTCCTGAGAGATGGGGACAGAGGTACCAGCAGGAAGAAGCTTCTGGAAGTGGAGAGACATGAAGTAGCTTAGAGAGTACGCCTACCCCGGTTCAACTGGAGTAGAGCTGTGGGGGAAGACAAAGACATCAACCTGCTAGCGTAAGATGGCGAAGAATCACATAAGATCTGAACATCATGTCAAGACATTTGCCTTTTCTTCAATAGGCAACTCCTTTTTGGTTTGTTTTGCATGCCCCAAATATTCAAAGACTTAGGCAGATGATGTATGACTAACATCTGGGATTTCATGATGTGGGCCTGTGTGAAATATTTTATGTACATTTGTCTTATTAATCCTCCTTCATATCTCTTTTTTTTTTTTTTTTTTGAGATGGAGTCTGGCTCTGTCACCCAGTCCAGAGTGCATTGGTGCAATCTCGGCTCACTGCAACCTCTGCCTCCTGGGTTCAAGTGATTCTCCAGCCTCAGCCTCCCAAGTAACTGGGATTACAGATGTGTGCCACTGTGTTTGGCTAATTTTTGTATTTTTAGTGGAGATGGGGTTTTACCATGTTGGCCAGGCTGATCTCGAACTCCTGACCTCAGGTGATCCGCCCGCCTCGGCCTCCCAAAGTGTTGGGATTACAGGTGTGTGCTCGGCATATATCTCTTTTTATAAGATAGAAAATACATGCTCAGACAAAGTATTTTGGGCAAGATCACTGAGTTGGTAAAGTGTAAAACCCGCATTTGAAGCCAGCCTGTTTTCACTCATCCCCTTTGTAATGCACCACATTGCCTCTATTGAAGATGGATTTTTTGTCTTTTTTTGAGACGGAGTCTCACTGTGTCACCCAGGCTTGAGTGCAGTGGTGCGATCTTGGCTCACTGCAACCTCCACCTCCTGGGTTCAAACAATTCTCCTGTCTCAGCTCCCCAAGTAGCTGGGATTACAGGCCCCTGCCACCATGCCCTGCTAACTTTTTTTTGTATTTATAGTAGAGACAGGGTTTCACTATGTCAGCCATGCTGGTCTCGAACTCCTGACCTCAACTGACCCACCCACCTTGGCCTCCCAAAGTGCTGGGATTATAGGCGTGAGCCACCGCGCCCAGCCATAAATGTATTTACTTTAAAACTGATTCACCCAGAGAACAATAGCATTGTAACTGGGTAAAACATGAGTGCTCAGTCTTGAGAGACTGTCCTTCCTCTGTTGTTGCTGCTTACAATAATGGGTTGGAATTAGCTAAGCAGATACAAGAATTTGAGAGCCACAGGCCTTCCCTCATTTTACCAACATTATAAAATGTGAAGCACGTCAGTACAGCCGATAAGCACCTAGGGCCAGAAGATGTAGTTTAGGTTGTCAGTGTTTGGGAACTGACATTGCCAAGACATTATTGCATCTTTTCTGCTTTATTAAAGGCGACTTAGAATGATGACTTCCAGTTCCTGCTTCTGGCAACAGTATTGAGTGCTGGCTACTGAGTTTACAGTATCCCCCCAGGGAGAGAAACAGACTTTTTCAGTGACGTCTACAGTAGGAGAGGTGTAGCTATTTCCTTTGTTCCTTGTACAAAACACCATACTCAGTTTTGCTTCCGATACAGATAAGAAATCTTTGTTCAATCTAGTCTGTGTTCAGAATCCAGATTTACACTGACCTTTTGTGTGGAAGAGATAGATTATTTTTTATCACAAGTGGTTTACATTTCTTATTAATTCAGACGGAAGTTAATTCACTCAACATTTGTAGGGAACAGAGTGGGCAGGGTGCTAGGACACAGAGATAAAAACATTAGCACCCTCGAGGACATCTTGAGCCATTGAGCTTTCAGTCAGACATCATAAAGACTGAGTAAGAAATATCAAACCTGAGCACAAAAAAGATACTACCCAAGGGACTCTTAAAGTGCAAGAGATGAAGCAAAGATAAAACCAAGCCCCTGCCTGTCAGCCCCTGGGGGGATGTGTAACGATGTGCACTATGAGATGTGTGCTCACGTCTCCGTGATGTAGACTTAGCTCTGTAAGGTGACAGGAATATGCTTGTGTGCGTGCATATATCATAAGTGCATATTTTCACTAATAGCAGTAAAGATGTTTGTGGAAAGCTAGGTTGCTAGTTTTATAGTCCATAAAAGCAGCTCTTGGGAGTCTAGGGACATACTTGGATTTGTGCTATCTGGAGAGAGGAGTTGGGGGGAGATACCTTAAAAACACAATTCAGGGGAAACTTCTTCCATTTGGGTAAATAGGGGAAATATATTTTGCTGTAGGCCAAAGTGAAGATGTGGTTGACGCTAAGAACCTGTCGTTGCCTTAGGTGCTGTTGTAAAGAATGTTAGAAGGTTTACAACACTGTGGCCAAATGTAGATAAAGTAAGTTTTGTTACATTTTTTTTTTTTTTTTTTGGAGTCAGAGTCTGGCTGTGTTGCCCAGACTGGAGTGCAGTGGCACAATCTCGGCTCACTGCAGCCTCTGCCTCCTGGGTTCAAGTGAAACCACCTTTGCAAAATTATGACTTAGACAGTTTATCAAGATTGTAACATCCCTTTCCCAAAGCAGACCTCCTTCTTGCCTGGGGACTAGATTGCCTTTGTAGGACTACCATTAGCGACAAGATTAGAAATTACGGTTTAGGAGTCATGCAGCTGGAGCCTACAAGATTCTGACCCTCCCTAAACTGCCTCTAAGATCAGTGCTTGAGATATTTGCAGACCCTGCACTTGATGGATCAGCTGGCCCCACCCAGATGGATTAACTGGCTTATCTGATCTTGTGCTCCCACCTAGGAACTGACTGAATGCAGGAAGACAGCTCCGGGTCCTATGATTTCATCTCTGGCCAATCAGCACTCCTGGCTCACTGGCTTCCCCCCACCCACCAAGTTATCCTTAAACACTCTGCTCCCTGAATGCTTGGGGAGACTGATTTGAGTAATTATAAAACTCAGGTCTCCCGCACAGCCGGCTCTGCGTGAATTACTCTTTCTCTATTGCAATTCCGCAATTCCCCTGTTGTGATGAATCGGCTCTGTCTAGGCAGCGAGCAAGGTGAACCCCTTGACGGTTACACAAGAGATTCTCCTGCCTCAGCCTCCCGAGTAGCTGGGATTACAGGCATGTACCACCACCCCCAGCTAATTTTTGTATGTTTAGTAGAGATGGGGTTTGGCCAGGCTGCTCTGAAACTACTGACCTCAGGTGATCCACCCACCTCGGTTTCCCAAAGTGCTGGGATTACAGGCGTGAACCACCACGCCTGGCCTGTACATTTTTTTTTTTTTTTTTTTTTGGAGATGGAGTCTTGCTCTGTTACCCAGGCCGGAGTGCAGTGGTGTGATCTTGGTTTACTGCAATCTCCGCCTCCCGGGTTCAAGCAATTCTCCTGCCTCAGGCTACCAAGTAACTGGGACCACAGGCACACGCGGCCATGCCCTGCTAATTATTTGTATTTTAGTAGAGACAGGGTTTCACCATGTTGCACAGGCTGGTCTCAAATTCCTGAGCTCAGGCATTCCACCCACCTCGGCTTCCCAAAGTACCAGGATTATGGGCGTGAGCCACTGCGCCAGGCTTATACTTTTTAACTTACTTTTCTTTAAATTTTAGGATGCGAGTCTCTGTCATTTGAATTGAGAACATATATTCCATTAAACATGCTGCTAATAGCGATCCCTCATGCATGACTTGGACTTCATAAGACGCTTTCCAGTGCTTTTCTCACTGCATTCTCACAGCAACCCTAAGTGGTAGATGTATTTCTGCTCCCAGGGAGGCAGACTGTGTTCTTCATTCTGCAGACGAGGAAACTGAGACTGGAGATTTAAATATTCACCCAAGGAAATGGCTGGTAATGGTGGGTCTCGGACTTTAACCCGGAACTTCTCACTTCAGATTCTTTGTCTTTCAACTAGGCCACACTGTTTTATGGCAGTCTGTTTAATTTCAATGTGGCTTTGACTTCTGACTATGAGCCATTAAGCGGCAGTTCTCTAAATCTAGCCCCTAAGTGAGTCTTCAAAGTCTAACCTGAGTACCCAGCTGCCTACAGCAAGTTTTCACTCAGCTATTCCTCAAGTGATACAAATGAAGATAATTCTCCGCCCCATCCCACTTCCATTTCCAGGCAAATCCATCTTGGATGCTAATCATGTTAACTAATAATTAACTCCTGGGAATGCCTCTACTTTTTTACTTTTTTTTTTTTTTTTTATTGAGACTGAGTTAGTTTCGCTCTTGTTGCCCAGGCTGGAGTGCAATGGCGTGATCTTGGCTCACTGCAACCTCCACCTCCCAGGTTCAAGCAATTCTCCCACCTCAGCCTCCTGAGTAGCTGGGATTACAGACATGTGCCATCACGCCCGGCTAATTTTGTATTTGTAGTAGAGACGGGGGTTTCTCCATGTTGGTAAGGATGGTCTTGAACTCCCGACCTCGGGTGATCTGCCTGCCTCGGCCTCCCAAAGTGCTGGGATTACAGGCATGAGCCACCACGCCCAGCTTAAGATTTTTACTTTATCTACTGTTGCTATAAATCCTGGCCTTAGGTCAAAACAACCTTGACCATAAACCCTGCCCTTACATAGGTTGATGTAGCATTCTTGCCTTTCCCTAGGGATGGACTTCAGTTGTCCTACACATTCCTTTCCTAGGGTATATAAGCCCTGGGTGTGGTGGGTAGCAGCACAGGAATCCACTATCTGGCCTCACTGCTGCCTGAGACATGGCTTCTGTCCGTAAGTCCCTATTAAATGTTTCTTTTCGAGAGACTGGATGGGTCAGCTCAGCTTCCTCGAACTTGGCGGGTGGGTTGCATAGACCTGCCTGCTGCAGAACACAGAGGTGTTTGGGCCATCTTTCTATACATTTTAAGAAACTCAGAATGAATGAATATTAAGAACTTTCATAGTATATCGTCTTTATAATTTTCCATTGTAATATCAATATTCTGTTTTGGCAGGGGAATTTGGAGAGTGTGGAGGAGAAAAAGAAATTTAGAATATATAGGCATGCTTTTCTAGTTCCCTTCAGGTGTAAGGATATTTTAAATGTAATGAATAATTGTAACTATTGAATGAAGTATTTTTATACATTCATTCCCAACTACTAATTTTTTTCCCATCAAGTTAGAATTAAACTAATCAGTATAAATGTATCACTAAAAAAAGCTAAGTATGGACCGGCACAGTGGCTCATGCCAGTAATCCCAACACTTGAGGAGACCGAGGTGGGCAGATTGCTTGAGGACAGGAATTCGAGACCAGCCAGGCCAACATGGTGAAACCCCATCTCTACTGAAAATACAAAAATTAGCTCGGTGTGATGGTGCATGACAGTCCAGCTTCTTGGGAGGCTAAGGCACTAGAATTGCTTGAACCCAGGAGGTGGAGGTTGCAGTGAGCCGAGATCACGCCACTGCACTCCAGCCTGGGCGACACATCAAGACTCCGTCTCCAAAAAAAATAAATAAGTAAAAAGCTGAGAAAGCTGAGTATGGTGCTGTTACTCTCTTCTAGGTTTTTGTTTTGTTTTGTTTTGTTTTGTTTTAATTAGAGACAGGATCTCACTCTGTCATCCAGGCTGGAGTTCAGTGGCGCTGTGGGATCATAGTTCACTGTAACCTCAAACTTCAGGACTCGTAGAATCAATCTGACTGCCTCAGCCTTGCCACCGTGCCCCATCTTCTAGGTTATTTTACTTCCTTTTCATATCAACTCTTTGCATTTAATTAGTAATGTCTTAGCTTCCAGACAGTATCTTTTCTGTGGTGTTGCGTACATGATACTTTAAATTTACACTAAATAAGACAATACTAACCTTCAAGGAGAAGTTAAAATATTTTGTGAATAGAATCTTCTAAGTAATTTATATCTTGGCTTGAATGCAGTTTAATGACTATTTTCTGTAAATTATGTAACTATTATTTATATTTATTTCTTACTGATCTTTGCTCTTCTATTATAACTTGTCTTGAGTCCTGCCTTGTACTTCCTGTTTGGTTTATCTGAGTAAATTTTTTTTTTTTTCTTTTGAGACGGAGTTTCACTTCACCCAGGCTGGAGTGCAGAGGTACAATCTCGGCTCACTGCAACCTCCACCTCCCGGGTTCAAGCGATTCTCCTGCCTCAGCCTCCCAAGTAGCTGGGATTACAGGCACCCACCACCACGCCTGGCTAATTTTTTGTATTTTTAGTAGAAACAGGGTTTCACCGTGTTAGCCAGGCTGGTCTTGAAGTCCTGACCTCAGGTGACCCGCCGCCCCGCACCCCTCCCGCCCCCCCGCCCTCCCCCGACCTCCCAAAGTGCTGGGATTACAATCATGAGCCACCACACCTGGCCCTGAGTAAATATTAAATTCAGTTGATTGTTCCTGAAGACTGAGCTGTCTCTTTGGGCCATGCCTCTGAGATTGGTGGTGGAAGGAGGCCCAGGCTGGATCCAGCAGAACCAGCCATTGTCACTTGTTAATGTGGCCTTGGGCAGGTGGCTTAACTGTAATGTCCTAATTCTCCTTCCCAGGGTGGATATGAGATTAAAAGGAGCGACTGTATGTAAAGCGCCTGATGGGAAGAAAGTGCTGATGAGAGCTATATTGCTTTCTCCTATTCCCTCCTCACTCCTTTTAAAAATTAAAACACACATGGACCATGTCTACATGTACTGAGCCTTTGTTAAAGTTAGTATTTATCAGCTGATAGCAGATTTGTTTTTTATTCGATCAGTTTTAACCAGTCGTAACGAAGAAACTGGTTTGACCTTTATACGTGACCCAGTTAGTAAACTGTTCATCTAGAAACCTAGAAACCTATATGCTGATAGTTCTAGTTGAATAATTCTTGTTAATTTTATTTACCAAAGAACCAGAGATTTATATTCCCAGTATGAAGTGATTTTCACTTAGATAATTTTTTATTCAACCTTTGTAACTATTTTATTTTGTGGAAAAAAAAATCCTCGAATGTACTTATTTTGGATTTTCCTGTTGGTGAAAACGGTTTTTGCATACCTTCGAAGACTGTTATGTGCGAATTTAAAATGCAGATTAGCTCTATCATACACTCACTGTAACTATGCGTCTTGCTTGTCGGTCTTGCTCTGAGCTGTGGATACTCAGTTATGTTTTATCCCGGTTTCAGATCAGAAACAGTGCTCATCCTTGCTAGAAACTGCCCTCTGAAGCAAAGTTCAAGTTCTCAGGGAGAGAGCCAATCACCCTGGCTCCTCCTACCTTCGATTAAGCAGAGAACAAGCCTTAGTATATGCAAATGTGAGCTTTGTTTTGTAGAGTAAATCCTGTTTATTTGTGTTGTGGGCTTTGTTTTTATTTTTTTATCTTGTTTTCTCTCTTAGAAAAGCTCAAGCCTCACACAGGTTATTTTCCCCTGGTGCTTGATGGTCTACACAGTTTCATTTCATCATGTCATACTTAGGGAGTGACCCATCTTTCAATGTGTCTTAAAGGGCTAACCTAGGAATTATTAGCCACGTGCCATACATCAACAAGGTACACTTTGATAGACTTTTTATTGCTTAAGTCCACAGCTTCTGAAAATCTAATCCTCTGTGTTTTCCTCTGTCTCCAGGCCTCTCTGGGCCTGTTGTTATTCTCTTATGCAGCTTTTCTTTTTCTTCCATCTAGCTATCTTCTACCAGGCTATGGGCTGGACTTTTATTACTTTGGTCCAGAGGTCACAGCTCTGGTTTAATCCACAAACCTTCAGTACTTTTTTTTTTTTTTAAAGCGCGATCTCGGCTCACTGCAACCTCCGCCTCCCGGGTTCAAATGATTCTCCTGCCTCAGCCTCCTGAGTAGCTGGGACTGCAGGCATGCGCCACCAGGCCCGGCTAGTTTTTGTATTTTTAGTAGAGATGGGTTTTTACTATGTTGGCCAGGCTGGAGTTGAACTTCTGACCTCATGATCTGCCCGCCTCGGCCTCCCAAAGTGCTGGGATTACAGGCGTGACCCACCGTGCCCGGCCACCTTTGGTTCATTTTTAAGCTTTTGACTGTTTTCTGATTTTTTTTTTTTTTTACTTCTAATGATACCAAGTATTTTGTAGTAGTTGTTTTTTTTTTTCCCTTAGCCTTGTGGAGGTTCTGCATTATAGTTCTTATAACTAATTTCTATTTAATTATTTTTACCTTGACTCCGATAGTTTGTCATCTACATTTTATTTCATGAACAGAATGTTAAAATAAATTAAAAGGCTGGGTGCAGTGGCTCATGCCTGTAATCCCTGCACTTTGGGAGGCCAAGGCAGGCGGATCGCTTGAGCCTCAGAAATTTTGACCAACCTAGGCAACATAGTGAAACCCCAGCTTTACAAGAAATATAAAAATTAGCTGGGTGTGGTTTTGCACCTGTAGTCTGAAGCTGAGAGGTGGGAGAATCACCTGAGCCTGGGAGGTCGGGGCTGCAGTGGGCCGTGATTGCACCATTGCACTCCAGCCTGGGCAATGGAGTGAGACCCTGTCTCCAAAGAATAATAATAAATTAACAATTTAAAAATAAATAGTGAATCATATGTTTTACAGCTTAGCGATTTAACCGATGACATCTCATTCATTTGACAACCTTGTGGAGAAGAGTCATTCATTTATTTATTCCACAGATTTTTTTAAGCATTACTACATGCCAGACACTATACTGGATCCTAAAAATATGAAGTGAACAAAATTGGCCAAAATCTCTGACTCGTGGGGCTGCATTTAATTAAGGAAGGAAGAGAACACACAGTCGTTAAATAGTGTATTGGCCATAAGTGCTAAGGAGAAATGTAAGGCAGAATGGGAAATTGGAATTGTGGGAGGGAGTCGAGGAGATGGAGCCAATTTCTGACTTTAGATGAGGCCACGCCTCACGGGGCAGGTGGGATTTGGATCAAGCCTGGCCTCTCTGAGGGAGTGAGCGATGTGGCCAGCCTGGGCCCAGCATTTCAGGGGGAGGAAAGAAGTACAGAGGCCCTTCAGGCTCAGGGGAGGTTGGGTGGGAGGACCGGGCAGCAGGAAGGCCCGTGAGTCTGGAGTGAGCTGAACCCAGGGGACAGCAGCTGGAGATGAAGTCAGAGAGCACCTGGCAAGAGGTTATTGTTCCTCTTTTACAGAGAGAACAAATACACACACACAGAGGGTCAGAGTGGTCTTGGTGGAGGGAGTTCCTCAGGGTCACAGAGCTAGAAAGGGGCAGAGCTAGGACTAAGCAGGACTAACTGGCGCTTGGAGCCCAGGTGTGGGCTGGGGCCTCCCACTCAGGTGTCATCCTTGATCGAAGTAGTTGACATTTTATTTCTCACTTTGCTCATCTTCCTGTCTTTGGAGAGTAGGAAAGCATATTTGTTTCTGGAATTCTCTGAGGAAAGATCAGTCACTTACATTTTAACCTCCATTTTGAAGAATCAGTGATATTTCACATGGAAAAGTGTACATGGGGCCAGTATACATCACATAGTTTTGACTTCAGTCTTATAACCTTGGGAGAGTTTGGAACACAAGAATTCTTTTTAGAGGACACAAAAACCTTCATAAAATGATTATACTGTCTGCTTAAAAGAGAAGTTCTACTAAAAATTTGGAAAGCAGTTTTTGATGTAGTATCAAAAAGTGGGTTGTTTTAGTTTGCAAACTTACCTCAAACTAGTTAGTCTTCCTAAGCTAGCCCTTTAAGTCACTGCAGTTCCATAGTTTAGGTGCTGGTAAATGAATTGTATGTAGCTAAGACAATGCATCAGTTGTTTTTGACTTTGTAAAGAATTCACATAAAAATGAAAGTTGCTCAAGAGAAGAGAATTATGGATGAATACACCCTAAAGTAAATTGCTCTTCTCCAAACCAAGGTCCATGCATTATATTTTATAGAATTCACAGACTGTTGTTACCATGACAGGTCACTCTTAGTCCTTGAACAATTTTCTCACCCAAGACTATTACCAAAATCAGAATTATCAACAGTCTGAAGTAATTCCAAGGCCAATAAATAAATAAAATGACTCCTCCAAATGATAAGAATTCTCTTTCAACACAGAGACGTTTATTAAAAGTGCAATCCCAGATGCTTGTTGAATATTTATTGGATGTGGTCATCCTGAAGCAGGACGCCTTAGGTATATTGTAGCATAAAATATGTTGATTAAAAATATCCAGGGTTACAATAGCTCCTACACAGAAAATCAAATTTTAGGGCTAAAAGATTTTTAAATTCACTAATAATGTGATTTTAGTACTTCATAAGCATATTTGTTTTTCATTTAATCCTCAAAAGAACCATAGGATATAGGGTTGTTAACCCCATTTCTTTTTTTTTAAACATCTGAGTTATAACGGGGGCACAGAAAGGTTAAGTAACTTCTCCAAGGTCACCAGCAAAGCCCGTATTCTGGATTTGCTTTGAAATCTAGCCGTTGTGCTTATTCACACTCACACTATCCTTACTCTTCCTTTTCTTTATCCTTATAGTTTTGATCCTCATAATTTTTTGTTTTTTAAACATAATTTCTTTTTAGAGATGGGGTGGTGCTATGTTGCCCAGGCTGGTCTTGAACTCCTAGCCTGAAGCAATCCTCCCACCTCAGCCTCCCGAAGTGCTGGGATTATACGCATGAGCCACTATGCCCAGCCAAACTTCATAGATTTTTTGACCCCATAAACAAATCTGTTGTAATAACCAATGGATTTTTTCTTTTTTCTTTTTGAGACAGTCTTACTCTGTCACCCAGGCTGGAATACAGTGGTGCGATCTCAGCTCACTGCAACCTCTGCCTCTGGGTTTAAGTGATTCTCATGCCTCAGCCTCCCAAGTAGCTGGGATTACAGGTGTGCGCCACCACACCCAGCTAATTTTTGTATTTTTAGTAGAGACGGAGTTTCACCATGTTGGCCAGGCTGGTCTCAGAAACTCCTGACCTCAGGTGATCCACCCACTTCGGCCTCCCAAAGAGCTGGGATTATAGGCATGAGCCACTGTACCTAGCCCAATGGAGTTTTTCTTTCTTGGTTTCTTTTATACTATTTCTACTTTCCATCGCTTCCATTGAGACTTTCAGCTCGTCACATCTAATATCTAAACAACAAGCCATGAACTCATCTCCTTGTCCTTGGTCTCCCTTGACTCCCACTGTCCTGTGAATTCCCACTCTCCTGTGAATTCCCACTGCCTCATCTGTAATTTCGTCATCAAGAGTCATTCCTAATTTGATGAATTCTAAATTGCTCCTCTGATCACTTTATAAGCACTCAACTTAGGTAACAGCAGAAATGGAGAGGAGGGAACACAGTTGAGCCATTGGGCTTTAGAGCTTCTTGGATGTGACTGTATCAGGAAGGCATGAGCCATGACTCCAAGGTTTCGATGCTGGTAATAGAATCAACAGAAAATAGAAGAGGAAGGAAAATTTGAGGAGCAAGAGTTGATTGGGGTTATTTGCTGGAATGGTCAGGGTTGAAGGTAAATCATTTACATTTTTCAAGGCTCTATGGTCCAACTGAAATGCCTTCTTTTTGTTGTTGTTTAGTCTGAAGTTATAACTCTGTAAACATTGATTTTTTTTTTTTTTCTGATCAGTTCATCTGACTCACAGTGTTATAGGACAGAGGACTATTTATTGTGTAACAGATGTAGTACTTCTGGTTAGTGTTAGAAAGACTTTAGAGCATGGGAGAAAAACCCAGTGATGTTGTTAGGTGTGTCTCACCTAATAGCTCTTGGAGTAAGGTGTTCACCTGCCCCATCATGGTTTGTGCTGACCAGCAGCCTACGTAGCAAATTCATTGGAATGGGTGACTTAAAACAAAACTTGCTCACTTTATTAGAAACAGTTTAACAAAGCAAACAAAAGCCAAATATTCTTTAATCTGCTTTATCATGATGGTATAGACCAATAGCCATTGTTGTGTTTACTGTTGACTAGTGTCATCAAAATCAAATTGTAAGGCTGGGTGCAGTGGCTCACGCCACTAATCCCAGCACTTTGGGAGGCCGAGGCGGGCGAATCACTGAAGCTCACAAGTTCGAGACCAGCCTGGGCACCATGGCAAAACCCCATCTCTACAAAAAATACAAAAATTAGCCGGGCATGGTTGTCTGAGCCTGTAGTCCCAGCTACTTGGGAGGCTGAGTTTGGAGGATGGCTTGAGCCTGGGAGGCAGAGGTTGCAGTCAGCAGAGATTGCCCCACTACACTCTAGCCTGGGTGATAGAGCCAGAGCTTGTCTCAAAAAAACAAAATAAAATAAAATTGTAATTGATCATACAAGTATTAATATTCTAGCACTAAATAATTCTTACTCAAAGAAAACTATCAGGTTGAGGATAATAAGCATTAACTGGGGACATCGAATAAAAAGTGAGTTACATCTTTATAAGTAATCTCACTAAGTGTTTCTTAGTTTGATATTCCATTGCGTCAAACCTCCTATGATTTGAAAACAATAATACTGAGTCAAAATAAAGATGTTAAATTAAAATTCTATTCATGCTTACTTGCCCCTAATATTTATGATCAATTTGCTTAGGTTTTCTTAATCTTTTATTAAGTAAGCTGTGATTTTTTAACAATTTGAACCATATAATATTTTGTGCTTAAACCATATTCCTTAAACAGTAAGTATTTGGTTGACAAAACTATAAATATACACTATAAATACATATAATACATACATTATATATATGTACGTTATACACATACACACATATATAATATGCTTATAATGTAAATATATGGAATTACTATATGGAGTTTGTGTGTGTATAGAATAGTAATATGTTTTTTCCAACAAACTGAGTTTTTTAACATCGTGTGTCCAAGAAGGGGTTATAATACATTTAAGCTCTGCTAGTTTTTCTTCTAAAGACCAAAATGGATGTAATCATGAGGAATATATGTTTAAGTTTTCACAGTAGTTTGAATAAGCCATGGTGAAATATTTAAGGTTATCCAGAGGGAGAAAAGCACCCTTTAGTTTATAGACAATTAAATTTAAATGCAGCCATAACTTACAAGGATAAATTTGAACCATCCATCCTTTGCTTTACTAGCTAGAGTCTGCCCTCTCATGTTGGCAGTTCTTTACAAAGAAGAGAGGATTTCATGTGCTTGCTTATAGTTTTGGAAAATGTGATGAGTTTAATGATGTATTTTTCATTTGTGAAATGAGTGTAGATAGAAATCAAAATGATGAATAGAAGATGTGAGTGATAGTGACAATTCTGATTGAAATGACAGTGAGAATGCAAAAATGAAATCAATTTTCTATTTAAATTATTACAGCAGCATTCATTAAGGCCCTTTCTTAAATAGAGCTGGATATTGCAAACTGGAAAAAAATATTAATCATGGATTTGCCCTAGATTTTTCTGCATTAGTCTGGCATGAATGTTTATATTTAAGCTGCAAATAGTAGTTTTCTAGGTATTCAGAAGTTAAGAACAATTTAGATTAAGGATGTTTAAAGCTCATTTGTAAAATGCTCATACTATTTGAGCTGTTTTAAAAAGATTTGCTTAGCGAAAGTCATTGGATCAGAATAATTCTGACACTCTTAATCTTTTTTTTTTTAAACTAAGGGCCTTAGACATTTTCTTTCCATTTAAAAATTTGAATGACAAAACCAAGTAAGTAATTACTTGAAATAGTGAAGTAAATACCAAATTTGTGCCCAGGGAAGAAAATACACTAAATCTTAAGGAACACAGAGGCAATTGTAAGACAATACAGTCTCTCTTGCCCATCTTTGTGTTTGAACAGATTTTGTAAATTCATTGGTTTGTAATAATATTTGGCAAGAGGTTCAGAAGTAGTGATGTAGCAGCCAGTTGTAAATAGAGAATAAATTTCACAGGCTAAATGATTATGAGTGACCAAGAGAATAGCAGCACTTGGGCAAGAGGGAACTGGTGGACAGAGAGGAGTTGGGAGGGGAGATCTGAGATGCTACAAACAAACAGCAAAAGAAAAATGTTTCCCTGAATTCATCTCAATGCTAAATTATGTCAAGTCACCATTTACAATGCTTAGAGTTCATTATAAGTGCTACTGATTTTTAGTGCAACTGGTTCTTATACTAAAAACATCAGCTAATAAAATGAAATTTATGTTAATTTTTTAAACTAAAATAGTAGCCAGTGAAGTGTACCATAGTGTAGATGTCTTAGAAATGTCTGATTCTTCTTTGGAAGGTAAATGATCAGTGGCTTTCATTAACTGATTTGCAAATCCAAAAATGTGTTCTTCCACACTAAGCCATATTTAAAAATATATATATATTTTTGTAGAGATGAGGGTCTCACTATGTTGTCCAGGCTGGTCTCAAACTCCTGGTCTCAAGCAGTCCTCCTGCCTTGGCCTTCCAAAGCATTGGGATTACAGGCATGAGCCACTGTGCTCAACCATCAGCCGTATTTTTTAACATGAGTGAATATATTTTGATATCTTCAATTATTTTATTGATTCACAGAATGCAATTTGTGAATCATGAATGAATCTAAATCATGAATAGTTTTTAGATTTCCTTCATATATGAAATTACAGCAAAAACAATGTAAAATCCTTTAAAACATAGGATCTCTTCTTCTTACCCAAGGAAGACAGTTTATTTCCTGAGTCCATTTGGTCATGGGTTAAGCATCAGATATATTAAAAATAAATGCATTTGGACTAAGTGCCATTTATTCAGTGGGAAATAGAATAAATGAGATGGGTTTGTTTCATGTGGGCCTCTTTATTTATAATTCCATGGCCTCAGAAAGAAGTCAGTATTATATCAGTCTGAACTATGTTTATGCATACACACACATACAAAATCTCACATATGTTAATATCAAAACTATTAATAATACATTATCACTTCATCTAAGCATCACCTAAGAATAGGGCCTGTTTCTCAAAGTGTTTGTGGCTGGGGCACCTCCTGACCACACAAAGCCCAAAATAAAGCTATCCAAGAGCCCTCATAGGCTAATACTAGTAACTGGCCCAGAGCCCTGAATGCTCAATTGATTTGACACACTAGCGCTCAAGCTACCTTTGGAACATGGAAGGCAGCACAGAGCCTTAATTCGCTGGCATCTGTACTCCGACAGCATGCCTACTCTTGTACTAGTTTAAGTTATTCCGTATTTTAAATGAGTCACTTCGTAAATACTGACCCTCCCTTATTGCCAGTAGGTTTTTGTTTGTTTGTTTTTTGAGACGGAGTTTCGCTCTTGTTGCCCAGGCTGGAGTGCAATGGTGCGATCTCGGTTCACTGCAACTTCCGCCTCCCGGGTTCAAGCGATTCTCCTGCCTCAGCCTCCCAAGTAGCTGGGACTACAGGCATGCGTCACCACACCTGGTTAATTTTTATATTTTCCTAAAGTGCTAGGATTAAAGGCATGAGCCCCCGAGCCAGTAAGTTTTAAATGAGGCATAGCTGAAAGTCCATGCTATGAAGGCAGAATTTAAAACATGAAATAACGTAAGTAACAATGGTGCTTTGTGAAACTACTCCATGTGTAGTATACACATACATGGCAAATTTAGTAATTTCTTTGTTGTGATGAAGTGTTGTGAATAATTCAAATTATGTAGCTGTGTTTTCTAGGGTACTAAACTTACATGTCTATGTCTTGTGAGTTTAGAGTTAGAATGAAACATGCTAAATGCAATAGTTACTATTAGAGGACTATTTGCTTCTCATTATTTAAATTTGCTGGCCGGGTATTGTGGCTCCCTCCTGCAGTCTCAGCAGTTTGGTATCCCAAGGTGGGCGGATCACTTGAGGTCAGGAGTTCGAGACCAGCCTGGCCAACATGGTAAAACCCTGTCTCTACTACAAAAACAAAAATTAGCCATACGTGGTGGCACCCGCCCGTAATACCAGCTAACTCAGGAGGCTGAGGCACGAGAATCACTTGAACCTGGGAGGCAGAGGTTGCAGTGAGCCGAGATTGCGCCACAGCACTCCAACCTGGGCAGCAGTTGAGATTCTGTCTCAAAAAATATATCAATAAATATGCTAACCTACTGTTAAATAATTATAAATAGCAGTGAGGTAAATGTATGCATTTGTGTGTACATAAGTGTGGATGTCTGTGTGTGTATATAGAACTACTTAATGTAATGATAAGTGCTTATATTAATGTTACATTTTAATTTTCTATTATTTTGTTAATGAAAATTCTTGTAATTTTTATGTAGTAAGACTGTTAACTGATTAGCTCACCATGTGAGTGTTCCATAAATGTGTTGTTTTATCTTCTCAAACTAATGAATAGTCTGTTTCATGGAGAATGCATTGTAAGCTCTTGACCTATGAAAACAAGTTTTTAAAACAACTACCACACATTTTTCACAGTTGTGCATAAACTTAGTTTTATCACTTTTACTAATTGTATTCACTTATAGCATCCAGCTAAGTGTATTAATAAATAAATGGCTCTGTTTAAAATGACAATTGAGGAAAGAATAACTACCGTACATTTTTTTCATGGTATACATAAATCTATTCATAACTACAGCTTCTACTATTAAAGTCTAAAAGATTGTTGGTTAATATAATATATGATGTAGACAATTTTTGAGATAACATAAAACCCAGTTTTTTTGTCCATTTTAGTTTACCAGAATGATTCCTTCATTCAGTTTTTTAAATTCAATGCCAAAATCACATAAGAACATGTAGTAGGCATGGTGCTTGCCAGGCTCTTGAACTAAGATTAGTGTAAGATTATTTTATCAAGGACGCAATGATCTAGTTCACTGGTTCTCAGGCTTTGCTGCTCGATGGAATAATTTTTAATTTAGGGAATTAAAAAAATATATTGGCCGGGCGCAGTCGCTCACGCCTGTAATCCCAGCACTTTGGGAGGCCGAAGTGGGCAGATCACAAGGTCAGGAGATCGAGACCATCCTGGCTAACGTGGTGAAACCCCGTCTCTACTAAAAATACAAAAAAAAAAACAAATTAGTCGGGCCTGGTGGCGGGTGCCTGTAGTCCCAGCTACTCCGGCGGCTGAGGCAAGAGAATGGCTTGAACCCGGGAGACAGACCTTGCAGTGAGCCGAGATTGTGTCACTGCACTCCAGCCTGGGCGACAGAGCGGGACTCCGTCTCAAAAAAAAAAAAAAAATGCCTGGGTTCTACCCCAGCCCTCCCCCACCCCACCCCGAGAGATTCTGATTTAACTGCTTTGGGATGCAGCTTGGACATCAAGAGTTTTAAAGCTCCCCACAAGAGTCTAAAATGCAGCAATTTGTATAAACTGTTGATGTAAGCCAGGAAGATATCTGTATTCTTGAGAGCCTCCTTGGCATCCCCTCCATCCTTAACCTTGCCATTAAGGAGGAATTACCTCCTGTTTTCACTGCATTTCCACCATAGGACATTCTCTTTTATCCATTTATTTACACTTCTGCCTCACTTTTTAGATAGTCACTGCCTTGCTTACTCCTCAAGGGCAAGTGTATATCTGAGCAATTTCTTTAACTACTATGCTCAGCAGAATTCCAGCTATATAGTAGGCATCAAATAAATGTCATTCACTGAATGCAAGTGAGGAATGTTTCAATAAGAAATGTTTCTTTTTTCTTTTCTTTTCTTTCTTTTTTTTTTTTTTCATGGTAGAGTCTCGCTCTGTTGCCCCGGCTGGAGTGCAGTGGCGCCATCTCGGCTCACTGCAAGCTCCACCTCCCGAACTCAAGTGATTCTCATGCCACAACCTCCTGAGTAGCCTCCTGAGTAGCTGGGATTATAGGCTGCACCACCATGCTCAGCTAATTTTTGTATTTTTAGTAGAGACAGTGTTTCACCATGTTGGCCAGCCTGGTCTTGAACTCCTGACCTCAAGTGATCCGCCCACCTCGGCCTCCCAAAGTGCTGGGATTACTGGCGTGAGCCACCACACCTGGCCAGAAATGTTTTCAAATAATATAATATAACCGAGTAGTGATACAGGAATCTAGCTAAGTCTGATGTAAGAGACTACTGTTCTGTCCAGTGGAAGTGGGTGGGACTTAATCTGCTTCATTGGATAGGTGTGCAGATGTGTATGGTGCAACATCTGGGGCCACAGCAAGGCACTCAGCAGAGGAGTTAGGGAGAAGGAGCTGGGAGTTCAAGGGTAGTGGGATAAGTGGACACCTGGCCAGATGGCAGATATTGAACTTTCATGCAAGATTACATTGAGTTGAGGGACCACACGTCAAAGATGAATTCAGTCATCAGCTGTGAAGGAGGGAAGGATCAGAGAAGGATCAGAGAGAACATGCAGTGCAAAGACGGAACTGGCGACTGGGAGGGAGGGCTGCCCTCAGGCACAGCAATCGCTGCATTAGCGCAAAGAAGCAGCTTACTGGGGTAAGAAACACCCTCCACTGCTAAGTTTCCGCAGGAACAAGTGGTACCAAACAGCTGCATTTTAATTGATACTTCAGGGCGTTCCTGGGACTCCTCTTATAGAGACCCTTTTTGACAGTCACATGCGGCCCTAGCCTATTAGTAGTACAGACATAGCTCCTTTAGGAACTTTCTAGTACTTTTCAGGAAGAAAGAAGAACTCAGTCTTCTTTATCCCCTAGGGTCAAGGGCTCCCAGAGAGTTTGTTTATTTGTTTAATAACTCCATGAACAGAAAAGAACATTTAGACATAATTAGAGATGGGGGATAGGAAGAGAAAGCTGATTCAAGTAAAAAAAAAAATTTGAATAAGTAAAACCAGAATCTACAATGTACCCGATAACCAACTCATTTCAAAGACTGTTGCTTTTCTTAACATTGAAGTTAGAAATTAGTTTTACCAATACTTACCAATACTTTGCCAATACTTATATTACCAACACTTACATCTACCAATACTTATATACCCTTTCTTGATTATCAACTTTATATTTCTTCTGATTTTATGAGCATATTAACATGACTATATGGCTTTTTATTTCTAAAATACTTACTAATATAATTTGAATTCTCCCAAACCATTAGAAGTAACAATAAGTTGTCACCAGGTGCGGTGGCTCATGCCTATAATCCCACCACTCTGGAAGGCTGAGGCAGGCGGATCACCTGAGGTCAGGAGTTCAAGACCAGCCTGGCCAACATGGTGAAATCCCGTTTCTACTAAAAATACAAAAATTAGCTGGGCGTGGTAGTGCATGCTTGTAATCCCAGGTACTCAGGAGGCTGAGACAGGAGAATCACTTTAACCTGGGAGGTGGAGGTTGCAGTGATCCGAGATTACACCATTGCACTCCAGTCTGGGTGACAAGAGTGAAACTCCATCTCAAAAAAAAAAAAAAAGTAAAAATAGTTGTCAAAGGCCTCCTAAATAGGATATTCAATACCATGCTTTTAAATTTTAAATATAGGAGAGTCTCTAGTTGTCTAGAATAATTCCTTTTTTTTGTATATCACTCTTGCAATTTTGCAATTTTAAACATCAATCTAATGTCTGCAATATAATATTACAAATCAGAAATACTTTCTATTAACCACTTATACTACATGAATAGATTTAATTAAAGAAAAATTATAGTTTTAGTCTAATTTTAGTCTAAAATATAGTCTCATTTTTGATGGTTTTAGTCATCAGGACTGAAAAGTTTTTGTTTTTTCTTTTATAGAGATGGGTCTCACTCTGCTGCCCAGGCTGGTCTCATACTCCTGGGCTTAAGTGATCCTCCCATCTTGGCCTCCCAAAGTGCTGGGATTATAGGCATGAACCACCATGCCTGGCCAGAACTGAGAACTCTTGTTCTGTATATTCTCCTCCTGTGCAATACTGGCATTTATCTTTTTGTGCTGTGTTCAAGGAAACTTGAGCCATCACGGCCAGACTTTTGCTTCTTAAAATCACCAAGTGAGGAGAAGAGGACAGAGAGAAAGACCATGTGGATATCTTCTGATTACATTAAAAGCTAGCCAGTTGTGTTGAGGGTTTCTGGAAGGAACGGATGCATTGAGCCTGTCATTTATCATACAGGGCGACTCACTTTTTCTAACCTTTCCCCACAACTGCCCTACGTGACCTTATTATCTGTCTTTGAAAATAAATTGGTAGCATTAAGCTTAGCCTGAATTTGATTCAGTTTACTTTTTCAGAAAAAAAAAAAGTCAATTTCAACAAGATGGAAGGTAAAAACTAACCAACCAAGAGGGTTTGAAAGAGAAGAAATTAGTCTTAAGAAATGTTTCCCTATTTTACTTACTATTTTCATATTTTATATTTTTTTGTCTACTGCAAAATTTATAATTAGTTTGGGGAATTATTATAAACACAATTGTTCTTCCTGGTATTTTAGTTTTTAGGTTAATTTTCTTTTTCTTTTTCTTTTTTTTTGAGATGGAGTCTCGCTGTGTCGCCCAAGCTAGAGTGCAGTGGTGCAATCTTGGCTTACTGCAACCTCCACCTCACAGGTTCAAGGGATTCTCCTGCCTCAGCCTCCCACGTAGCTGGGACTACAGGCACGCATCACCATATTTTTTGTATTTTTAGTAGAGATGGGGTTTCACCATGTTAGCCAGGCTGGTCTCGAGCTCCTGACTTCAAGTGGTCCACCTGCCTCAGCCTCCCAAAGTGCTGGGATTACAGGCATGAGCCACTGTGCCCAGCGAGGTTAATTTTCAAAAGAATGAGGACAGTTTTACTACCTGATGCCTAAAATTGTCAACATTTGCCTTGTCTCCCAATTCATAATTGCTATTCCATCCTCTAAGTCTGGTTTATGTCCAGTTACCTTCTCCAGTCACTCGTCTTGAACTTTGACAGTCCAGTCATGAAAAGCTATCACTTGGCTTCCCGCCCATGGTATGCCTTTTTCCTTCCTTCTTTCTCTGTCTCTCTCTTCCTTCTCTTTCTCTCTCTCTTTCCTTCTTTCTCTCTTTCTTTCCCTCTTTTCTTTTCTTTTCTTTTCTTCAGAATCTCACTCTGTTGCCCAGGCTGGAGTGCAGTGGTGTTAGCTCACTGCAACCTCTCCCTCCTGGGTTCAAGTGACTCTCCCACCTCAGCCTCCGGAGTACCTGGGATTACATGCACCCACCACCATGCCTGGCTAGTTTTTGTATTTTTAGTAGAGGTGAAGTTTTACCATGTTGGCCAGGCTGGTCTAGAACTCCTCACCTCAAGTGATCTGCCTGCCTCGACCTCCCAAAGTGCTGGGCTTATAGGCATGAGCTACCACGCCCAGCTGGAATGCCTTTTTTTGTCTCCTTGCCTTGGTCATGCTGCTTCCTCTGCCAAGGATATAATTTCCACCTTTCCTTTCAGGCTCTCGTTTTAATAACTGCTTCAGGTATAATTTTCCCTGAGAAGCATTCTTCATCTTCAATGGTTAGTGAGCCAAGTAGCCCATGTCAGTGCTACTGTGCTCTATATGAGAAACATATTTAAAAGTTTAGGATTTGTGCCAGCCCTAACAGACTGGAAATACCTCGAAGGCAAAGATTACGTCTGACCAACAGTTAGTACTGTTGTGCATAGCACCGTATGCTAGACTGATCTTTTATCACTATAATTGAATAATTGCAATGTTTTCTCATTTTTCAGGAAAAATAAGTAAATGGATAATATATTCCAAATTTAAAGTTTTTATCCTATAATTGTTTTTAAACCTACCTTTGTTAATAAAGTGTAGCTAGGAATTAGCAAGCAAGCAGATAGCACACACGAATATCACAGTACAGCATAGAGGCAGCCAGTCATACTTAGATCAGTTGCTTACTGCTTTTGTGGATGTGCATGCTCATAATTTTGATTTTTGTAATAACATTGTTGCCACTTATGCATGACAAAATTAGTAACACCTATGACGGACACTAGGTATAACAATAACTGCAAAGAACATTGTGACTCCCAGGTATTCTGATGCTTAAATAAGGCTGAGAACCTATTCATAATATAAGGGGAATTCTCCCTTGTTGTTATTTCAGTTATTGATTTAGCTGAAAATGTGAGTTGCATGCTGGTAATTGAGACTAGCATTAATTATTTCTAGAATATGCAGTTAGCAGTGCAACATAAGCACCAAGCAATCTTCATGCTAAAATGTTTTCCCCCCTTTTGTGAGTAAAGGTATACTTTGTGCTAAATTCCATAGTTAATGCTTGATTTCCACCCCTCCCATGACCATATTAGCAGATCCCCATCAAGAAAATCTTTTGTTGTAATAAGAAATGACACAACCCATTTTTAGTAAGGAGAAGCTGTAAGGAAAGTGATGATAGTAACATTTTCATTCTTCCACTTTAATTTGTTACATATTGCTGTGCTAGATAGATTCGTCTAAGAATCCTAATCCATTTACACACTTCCTGTGATGTTTGGCTTATTGGCATGCAGTGAACACTTTTCATCAACCTTTCTGTGCTATTTCACTAACACAGCATAAATATAAGGTGTTGTGCTTCAAATAACTCTCCATTGTATACAACTCCATGTGAGTTGTATTAGCTGAGGCTTATTTTCATTGAGACATCATCATTTTCAGTGTAATCTCCATTACTTTTAAATTATTAAAAATTAA
The DNA here is from genome assembly GCF_000001405.40 of Homo sapiens. Classification (NCBI taxonomy): domain Eukaryota; kingdom Metazoa; phylum Chordata; class Mammalia; order Primates; family Hominidae; genus Homo; species Homo sapiens. The sequence continues at coordinate 162,511,863 of NC_000006.12, read as the reverse complement.
AATCTCTTTATGTGAAGTGCAGTTTTCAAGAAACAGTGCTCACTAGAATTGTGTCCTTTTTTCTATACAAAGCTGTAGATCACGTATCATGGGGGGCTGGTTAGACTCAGGTGCAGGGATGCCAATTTGGAGTCTTAATACAAGAATGAGATGGTGGTCTTTAGAGTGGTCTGGGGTGAGTACTAGTCCCTTACTCTCCCCAGACCATGGGCTTTATTAGTATGATCTCTTTAGTCGTATACATGTATTATTAATAGTCCATGAACAATATAGAGAACCTAAATGATGGCTTAGATTCTGATTTCCTATTCCCTTTTAATTATCTACATTTTCTACAGTTGCAGAATTTACATATAAGACATTTAATGTCTAAATCACATGAAAACTGTGAGAAAGGAAAACACTGTAGACATTTTTTTTTGTATTCTGTACAGTTCTGTGTACATGTCTGTGTTCCTGTTTCACAGTTTTTCTAGCAGGTAAAACAAACTGCACTTTAAGGCAATATGGTACATGTACATCTAGAATGTCTATAAGTAGGCATAATTGCATTTCATGTTGCCATTTCAATTTGAGCTAATGTATCTCAGTAAGTGCTACAAACACAATTAGTAAGTAATACCAAAGAGTGGTAGCTTCCAGGCCTGATAAGAAAAAAAAAAGTAATATTAAATTAGGCAGACACAAAGAAAACATATAAAAGGGGACATAATTAAAATGTAAAATTACTGGGTTATTTTCTATAGAAAAACTTTAAGATCTCAATCATGAAAAAATATTAGTGGAAAACAGTATGCTATTGGTCTTTATAAATGGTTGTTTCATTAAAATTTCCTTTATGAAACCTACTTTTCTTCCCAAATGTAGGAAAATTTTATTGTTCAGTGGGTATATATATATATGTATATATGTTTTGTTTTTTTATTTGTTTGTTTGTTTTTGAGACTGAGTCTCGCTCTATTGCCCAGGGTGGAGTGCAGTGGCACAATCTCGGCTCACCGCAACCTCTGCTTTCTGGGATCAAGCGATTCTCCTGCCTCAGCCTCCCGAGTAGCTGGAATTACAGGCGCATACCACCACACCTGGCTAATTTTTTGCATTTTTAGTAGATACAGGGTTTCACTACGTTGGACAGGCTGGTCTTGAACTCTTGACCTCAAGTGATCTGCTCGCCCGGCCTCCCAAAGTGCTGGGATTACAGGTGTGAGCCATTGTGCATGACCTGCAGTATAAATAAGTTTTAAGGTGATATGAGAAAGTACTTTGCATTGAAAAGGGAACAGAGGCTGTTTTTCTATTATAAATAGGCCCTGGAGGGCTCAGAGCTGGATGTCTTCACCCTGCTCCCCAGAGAGCAGTCCCTGCTTCCTCGGTGCAGCTGGCCAAGGAGGCCACTAAACAAGGGCTGCATGCCAAGAAAATACAGAGATTTGATCGTGGCCAGACTTACCTAGGAGTGTCGCCCTCTCACACGTGAGAAAGCACCTGCCATCATCATATGGAAAATGCATTCCAAATTCTGAACAAGTTCTGTGGCATGAATTCATTCCTCAGAAAGGCAAGTTCCAGTTTTTATTCAACCAACAGAATTTCAATTACAATTGCAAAAGAGGAAAATACTCAACTTTATCTAACTGCTTTGGACCACTCTGGTTTTGGATTAAGTAAATAAAAACGTCTATTTAGTGAACGTAGAGGTGTCGGTGTTGGGTGCCGACTGTTGTTTTGGCAGATTCCAAGCTGTAATGTTACATCGGAGAAAATGCTTTCTGTCAAGACACTCTTCACTGAAGAAAGCAAAGCCTTTCTGGGCTGACCTAAATCACTGTGTTCCTTCATTAGGCCCTTTCAGTACTGCTGTGGAGATTTGTTGCATGTGAAGTGAGCTCTCGGGCATAAAAGAATGACATGCCAAATGGGAGTTGCCTATTTTCTTTTGTATATTAACTAGTTGTATAATTCACCAGGAGGGATAGTTCACGCAAGCAGGAACAGCAGGGCCATCCAGTCCTCAGCTAGCTTCCAGCAGGAGTGGGAATTGCCTTTCAAATTCAGAATAATTTAATGATTTACACCATTTTTATTAAAAATAAATAAACAGAACGATGTAATAAAACAACTAATGACTTTTTTATACAGCAGTGTCTGCGTAAAATACTGCTCTGGGGATAGCAAAGGTACATCCTTTGTAATGTAAGACATTTGCTATCTCTGTAACTTTTCTATCCCAGGATGGTATTTGACTATTGTCACTTTCAAACTAATTTATTTTTTAATGATTTGAGATGCATGGATGTGTATATAATGTTTTGGGAAAAATCTATGAATTATGCATGATTTACCTGAGAGAATGTTCTAAGATAGGCTTGTTTTTAAGATCAGCTAAATTTAGCATATTGACATTTTTTCAAATCCTCTTTTTGTTGAGGCTTTTCATTTAAATATTCAGGGAATATGGCAACATAAAATATACAAATTTGGTCATATATACTGGATTGCCTGTAAGAAATGTTCTTATAGTAAAATCTTAATCAGTATGTATAGAATGGGCTGTCTGTGCCAAACCAAACAAAAGGGTCCCTAATGGATACCAGGTTGGAAAGGAACAACTCAGTGATGGTAGTAAATGTTTTAAAATTGTGTTTTAAAATTTTGAGGCAAACTCGGGGTTTAATGGATATGTTTGTAGAAATACCCACTTAAAAAATAGAAGGGCTGTGACATTAAAGCTGCTGGGTTAAATTTTATTTGTTATTGGCCACAACAATGATATCTGCAAAGCATCATGAGTATTTATTTGAAGTTTAATGACTTGTCACTGAGGTCAGTGGTGTTTCCTCATTCTTAGATTCTTAGTTATTTTGATAATGGATTTGTGCTCATGAGAAGATCTGAGCATTCTCACTTGAATAGCAAATATCTCTATGAAGTCTTCTCTGCCTCTTTTTGTAAAGAAACTTTATCTTCCTTTATTTTGTTTGTTTTTTGTTTGTTTTTTGTTTTTTGTTTTTTGAGACAGGGTCTTGCTGTGTCACCCAGGCTGGAGTGAAGTGGTGCAATCACGGCTCACTGCAGCCTCAACCTCCCGGGCTTATATAGCTTCTGTCTTATTTCTAGTATTAGATAGAGGCTTCTGAGATGCTGCTGGGTAAAAATGCTTAGGCTTGAAAGTCCTTAAAGAGTCTGAGAGGCCTTAAAGAGAGCCCCTAACCCTGGGGCCTCATGGCTTACAAACACTGGGTCTTTAGAGAGATGGCAGGTGACTGACATTGTTTGCTTTATGTGGGATGCCTCTCAGAAAATGAAATGGCAGATGCTGTTGCTTTCTTCAACCCTGAGGACTTTTAGTGTGTCAGAAAACAAATTGACTCTAAGTTCCATGTAATTGTTAGTCATCACAGCTTATGATAATGGGACACTACAGCGTTTTCATTTGCTTTTGCAGATCATGTTATGTCATTTGCTAAACAAGATAAATAAGGCTTAGAAAGATAATGTGACATAAGCAAGTGATATTGTTTGGCTCTGTGTGCCCACCCAAATCTCATCTTGATTTGTACTCCTGTAATTCCCATGTGTTGTGGGAGGGACCTGGTGGGAGATAATTTGAATCATGGGGGCAGTTTCCCCCATACTGTTCTCACAGTAGTGAGTAAGTCTCAGGAGGTCTAATGGGTTTATCAGGGATTTCCGCTTTTGCATCTTCCTCATTTTCTCTTGCCGCTGCCATGTAAGAAGTGCCTTTTGCCTCCTGCCATGATTCTGAGGCTTTCCCAGCCATGTGGAACTGTTAAGTCCAATTAAACCACTTTCTTTTGTAAATTGCCCAGTCTTGGGTATATCTTTATCAGCAGCATGAAAATTGACTAATATAGCAAGTCTCATACTTTCTTAATCATAGAGTTTGGACTGCAGTCCTTCATCCTGCCTGGGACTCTGCCCAAGCCTTTTCTGTTCTACTTCGTTGAGTATTCAGTAATTTAACTAACATTTATTCGGTAATCCATCCAGTATTGACTGAGCCCCTACAGCATGTCGGATCTGTGCAGAATGCCAAGGATAATCCTGTGAATAAAGTAGATAGAGGTGATCTTCGTCTTGTTGAAGCTCACACTCCAACAGGGGAGACAGACATAGATCAAATGATCACTCAAATAATATAATTAAAAATCAGTCTTTTAGAGGAAAAGTAGAGTATAGGCTTTCATAAATCCTATACATACCTTGTAAATGTGTTCCTATCAGTTAATTTACCTAGTTCACACTTAACAGTGATTTAATTTGTGTAGTAGATCTTTTTGTTACTTAAGTTTTATAAAAACATTTATTCTTCAAAATCATTGAATAGAATTTGAGGCTGTCAATATGGTGCTGGCAAAAGGAGCGAACTGGGTATTTTTAACCTTAAGGAATATGCGTATATATATATAATTTTTTTTCTTTTCTTTTTTTGAGAGACAGGAAGAACTCTTGATTGTCATCTTTTCTGCTTCCCAGGGTCCATCTTTGGATTTCATTCTAGGACAGTGAGAAGCCATTGGATGGTTTTAAGCATAGGAGTGAAATCATACGATTTGCGTTTCAAAGAAGTTACTCTGGCTTCTAGGGAGAATGAGTCTTAGGGAGCCAGCATAGTGGAAATGAGAATAGTTACTGCTACTGTCTTGTTCTGGGTGAGAAATCATAGCATGAAGAACTAGAGGGGAAAGAGGAATGGATGGAAATTCAGTATATTTTGGAGGTGGCTCTAGCATATCTTCCAGATCATTGTATGTTGAGATAATGCAAATATTGGAGTGCTTGCCTTCTCATTCTTCACTTTCAGAAGAACCCAGGTCTTTTTTACCCTCTCCTGTTCTGCCATCAGGCTACTTGAAATAACTATGCTCACTCATTATATAAAATATTTTTGTCCCTAATTTCCTCAAAATATGGGATGGTGATTCTTTGACCTTTTCTTAGCAAACCCCATTTTCCATTCTCCAGTGCCAACCTTGTCTCTTCTCCTCGGCCCCTTAAGTCCACTGTGATGCGCTTAAGGGCATGAAGGCACCTGTGATGTGCTCTTGCCTCCAAGCTGGTGCTGGATGGAGCTATTTGCTCCTTGAACTTTCCTAAACTCATCTCGTCATCTCTTCCCACTGTATTGATATCTCCTCCTTACCTCTTCTCCCGAAGCAAGAATTCCTCATCTTTCCCAAAGCTGACCCTTTCACCCGGGATCATGATTCCATTTTTATCCCACCTCTTCCTAAACTTTAATCACCAGTTACTGCCCCTGTGTTTATGTTTTGTCTCAGAACATCTTAGAAGGTAAGTCCATATTTGCTGTTGCCAATTCCATATCGCACATTTAATCTTTCAAATAATGAAATAGACTTTCTCCAAGATCTCTTATAAAATAAGCATTTCAGGGGGCTGGAGGGAGGACTGTAATAATCAAATTCTCTTCCTAGTATCACATGTCTCTTCTCAGTCTTTAGCTTGCTAGACATTTCTCTACCACATGATCCTTTCCATTGTAAAACTCTCTTGACTTCAGTAGAAATTCTTTTGCTTCCTTTTTTCTTCCTACCTCTAAAGGCATTCCTTTTTTTTTTTTTTTTTTTTTTGCTTCCTCTTTATTTTCCCAAGGGTTCTGTTGTCAGTGATATTTTCATCTTGCCTTACCACCATTTGCTGTCTCTATTATCAAATACCAACTATTGAATGAGGACATACATTTTCTTCTCAGATTCAGATTTCATTCCATATAGCTGCACATTTTGGAATCTTCTTTGGCTGCCCCTTTTCTTCACTCCCAGCACCAAATGGAGGATCAAGTCCTAGAAAACTGAGACCTCAGTTAAAGCTCCCTTCCTTTGCTGGGTAACTGAAGCAATATAGGAACTTGTTGCCCCTGCCTCCCATCTCTCCTGCCTTACACCTTCCCTTACAATGTGGTTATCCTACAGAAACACTGACTTGGCTGTGCCAGTATGCTTGTGAAATATTCAAAACTAACTGAAAAATGCAGAGAATAATCTAGCAGACACCTCTATACTTATCACGCTGATGTGACAAATACTCACAGTTTTCCAGATCTGCTTCATATCATTTTGTCAAGTAAATCACATATTATGGGTACATTTGAAATCCTCTCCCTTCTATTTCTATTACCCCTTCATCCCTCCTAAAGTTGGCATATATCCTTTCTGTCCATATATTACTTATGGTCTTAAGATTTATGTTAATTGTATTGTATAGTTGCTTTTGTGGCTCAGATTTTGGTTTTGAAGCTTATCCATGTGGACACAGGTAAATCCAGTATAACTGCTCTCAACCTGACATGGGGGAAGGGAGCTTGTTAAAACACGGATTGCTGCGTCCCACTGCCAGCATTTCGGATTCAGTAGCTCTTGAGTGGGGTCTGCGAATTTACATTTTAATACGTTTCCAGGTGATGCTGATTCTGCTATTCCTGAACAACATTTTGAGAAAAATTGCTCTAGTATGCTTATTTTAATAGGGGCATGCCATGCCTTTTTATGACACTACCACAATGCATGTAATCATTGTCCTGTTGATAAACATTTTGTATGTTGCCAAATTTTTTGCAATTACAAATAAGGCTGCATTAAAAATCCTTGTACGTGTTTACTTGAACATATGAAAATAGTGCCCCTAGAACATAGGTACGAAGTTGCTAGGTCCAGTGAAATGTGAATACTAAACCTTAGTAGCTCTTTACACATTTCTCTCTATCTGGTCATACAAATAAACTCCTACGTGGCCACTGGCAGTTTATGGAAGTGCTCATTGCTCTGCATTTTCCTCTCCCTTAGTATCTTCGGAATCTTAGATTTTTCCACAATAAAATGGCTATAAGATGGGGCAGCCTTGCCATGTTCCTCAGCGTTCCCTGATTCATGCTGAGGTGGAGCATCTTCCTTACGGCCAGTGGTTCTTCAGGTTACCTCCTCTGTGCCCTGCCTAGTTCTGTCTTTCCTCAATTTTTCCCTTGGGCCTTTTTTTGAATTTTCATATTGATTTCTACAGTTTTCTTACTCATTTTGGATACTAATCTTTTATCAGTGGTGTCTTCTTCCAGTTTGTGGCTTGTCTTCACTTGGGTTATAGTTTGTCTAAACGTGCAGATGCTTTAAATAGAGTGGGGACAAATGTATCAGTTCTTTTTTTCATGAACTTTTAAAATAAAGCCTTCCTATACTAATGTTACAAAGCATTCTCCTATATTTCTCTCTTAAATGTTAACACTTTGCTTTTCACATTTAGGTCTCATTTATATAGGACTCTATCCTTCCCTACTAATACAGAATGCTGTATCTGTCGTACACCAAGATGTCATATCTATGTAGGGCTTCTATTCCAGTCCATTGATCTATTATCTGTTCCCTATGCCAGTATGTCACTGTTTTAGTTACTACTTTTATTATAACATTTTTTGTGTGTTTTTATCCTCCCAGAGCCCTGGGCTTCATTGCCACTTATTTGGGTGAAGTTTTGTAAACCCCTTTTCCAAGTGTGTCTTCCAGGGTCATGGCTTATGCACAGATTCTCAGATCTAGCTTTCTGCCTCTTGCAGGCCCTAAAACACGTGTCTCGTATTAGCAAGTATGCTCAGCTCCATCCTTCAGCCTTGACAGCAGGGTCTGGGACCAGGACCCTAGGCTGATGCGGAGTCAGCTGGTGTTCTCACCACTCCGGGTTGGCCTTCCCTCTGCCTTTCCAACCCCTGGAGTTTCCCGTCAGCCTGCCTTCCTCTCTGCCTTTGTGATCTCTCTCTCTCTCTCTGTGTCCTCTCTGTCTCTCTTTCCAGTAGTTCTGCCTGGAGCAGGAAGAAGAGCCCTTCTCAATTCAGTCAGCTGTGTTGCCAAGAAGTCCTTCTCTGCTTCTTAAAAAATTCTGATGTGCTCTTTTTGTCATCTAAAAATAATTCAGATTTCTTTTGCACGGCATTGAAACACTTTGTAATCTGACTTAGAATTAGCATGATGTTCCAGCCTTGTCCTTCTTCACTTGCCCCATCACCCTCCTGTTTACCCACATTGGGTAAGTTTAGGTTATGTCTTCTCTCCTTTCAATATCTGAAAGCTGTTCGGATCCTCCGAGTTCAGCTGTATCAACATTCACATTGTAGGTATTTTCCCACTTAATTTACGTTTAGATAATGGTAAATATAATTGGATTTTCTCTGTTGACCAAAGGTTAAAAGGCTTTTATATTCAAATGGTTTAAATACTAAACTATCTTCCTATTGCTTGGTTATACTTTTATTAGATTATGTTTTAAATTATGTTATCATGGCCTGTAATTTTCCTACATTTTGGAATTTTCTTCAAGGTTTCTATGTAGTCAAGTCATTCAAATATGAATGTTTCTTTGAAAGGAAGGAACATAGGCCAGGCACGGTGGCTCATGCCTGTAATCCCGGCACTCTGGGAGGCTGAGGCAGGAAGATCTCCTGAGGTCGGGGGTTGATGACCAGCCTGCCCAACATGGCGAAACCCCGTCTCTACTCAAAATACCAAAAATTAGCCAGGCATAGTGGTGGGCGCCTGTAATCCCACCTACTCAGGAGGCTGAGGCGGGAGAATTGCTTGAACCCGGGAGGCAGAGGTTGCAGTGAGCCGAGATCATGCCATTGCACTCCAGCCTGGGTGACAGAGCAAGACTCTGTCTAAAAAAACACCCCCCGGCCAACAAAAAAAAAAAAAAAAAAAAAAAGAAATGAAGACTATTTTCTGTAGGGTGCCAAATTCGCCATTGAGGAATAATAATACATGATCCATAGTTATTAATACATAAATTTGATGCTTCAAAAACAGTCCACCAAATACAATACAAGATATTCTATTTTATTTTAATATTAAGAAAGATAATATACGAAACTATTTCTATATTTAGATCCTTTAACTTTAAAATGTAGTTTGCCAAATAAATATAAAATTATGTAACACAGAATATTGTTCTGGAAACACTGGGTTGGGGATCCAGAGACACTGGTTCTGCTGGATTTATTCCAAACTAGTTGGATAAAATTGAAATATCATTTAGACTCTTGAGTATCTTATGTATTTGTGAAATGAGGATATTGGATTTGATCATCACCCAAATATTTTCCAATTCTATAAAATGCTGGGATCACGCTTTTCCTGAGGAAAAGCGTGTGTTATTTTAACTTTAAAGTCAGTTTTTCATTTTATGTGATCATCTCATTTATAATTTTAAATGAAAATATTAATGATAAGAAATGAGCCATAATGAATTGTAATTATTCAACTGAAAGAAATATTATTAGGCATGATAATTTGCTTTAGACATATCGCATGACTATTTCCCTGTTGTAATGCTGCCCTTTAGTGAAGCCTGCCCACACCTTGCTTCATCTCAGGAGGTACTGTTCAGCCAGGCAAGGTGGCTCACAGCTGTAATCCCAGCATTTTGGGAGGCGTTGGGGAAATGGCCTGAGCCCAGGAGTTTCAGACCAGCCTGGGCAAGATAGTGAGACCTCATCTTTACAAAAAATGTAAAAAGTAGCTGTGTGTGGTGGTGCACACCTCTGGTCTCAGCTACTTCAGAGGTTGAGACAGGAGGGTCGCTTGAGCCCAAAAGGTCAAGGTTGCAGTGAGACATGATCGCACCACTGGACTCCAGCTTGGGCAACAGAAGAGACCTTGTCTCAAAAAAGAGGGGCGTGGGATGCCTCTCATCAGTTTCAGTATCTGAAATATCCTAATGATGATGTTTGCTTAATTTGAGGAAGTGTACATATATTTTAACTGCACCTTTTAAGATGTTGCTTAACAAACAAAATGGTGCATTTTGCCCACCCACCCTGGTCTTCCTCTTTGCCATTCTTTCTAGATAGATGACCTATTAAAATAATTTTTAAAATTACTTAATTCGTCTTTTTCCCACATTACATCAATATATCATGTGTCTCCTTCTCCAGACAAGTGGAGCCTGAAGAGGTTTGCTGCACATTTATCTGTGTGGCCTAAGGGTGAATACTTGGTGCGAGCTGTCATTTTGTTTCTTATCTTCAAGGGTGCCACTCCGGCAAGGCAACTAGTGCCCCAGCAATTCTATTAATGTAAGCGTTGGTTCTGCCCTCTGACATCATTTTGAGATGGCCTGCAGTGTCCTCAATCTTGAGCTTCCTTGTAAACATATTCCAGAGTCACAGGTTAGAGTTTTAGGAGCATGGCCGGGCGCGGTGGCTCACACCTGTAATCCCAGCACTTTGGGAGGCCAAGGAGGGCGGATCACTTGAGGTCAGGAGTTTGAAACCAGCCTGGCCAATGTGGTGAAACCTCGTCTCTACTAATAAAAAAAAAAAAAAAAAATTAACCAGGCGTGGTGGCACATGCCTGTAATCCCAGATATTCGGGAGGCTGAGGCACTAGAATTGCTTGAACCAGGGAGGTGGAGGCTGCAGTGAGCCGAGATTACACCACAGCACTCCAGCCTGGGTGACAGAGTTAAACTGTGTCTCAAAAAAAAAAAAAGGAAAAAAGGGATTTAGAAACATAATGAAGTTTAAAGATATGGATTTCACGAGGCCTGGCCTGAAGTGAAAAGACTGCTATATTTACATTTTTCCCCATCAACCCTCACTGATCCAAACTCCACTAGTTTAGAATTTATCTTTTGGAGCTTGGGGGAGGAGGGATATTAAAACACCTTTTATTACTATTATTATTAGAGATAGAGTCTTGCCGTGTTGCCCAGGCTGGACTACAGAGGTGTGATCATAGTTTGAACTCCTGGATTCAAGCAATCGTCTCGCCACAACCTCCCTGAGTTGTTGGTACTACAGGCATTCAACACCATGCCTGGCTAGTTTTTCAAATTTTTTGTAAGGATGGGGTCTGGCTATATTGCCCAAGCTGTTCTCAAACTCCCGGCCTCAAGCAGTCCTTCTGCCTCAGCCTCCCAAAGTGTTGGGATTACAGGCATGAACCACTGCACCCAACCTAAAACATCTTTATTATGTAAGTAATAAAATTAATAGTATTTAAGAAATAATATTAAATATACCTAGAGAAACATAGTTTTTGAGGTACATTTAAGGCCCTTCTTTCAATACATTCAAGTTATATACAGATAGCATATCAATTACATATTGTGTATTCATTAAGAAAAAGATAAGGATTCACCAGCCAATCTATTTGTTAGCATGCCTTATTTAGTTCTTTGTGTCTGAAAGCACTTAAGCCATTGTAAGAAAAGAGACTCTACTGACTTAGGTCATTCTTCTATTGTTCAAATTACTAAGGTTTCACAGCCTATGAAAATCTGTTATCTGTTGAGAATACTCATTCCGTCCGTCTTCCTGAGAAATGGAGTTAACTCCACCATATAGACGTGCAGTAAGAATGGCTGTTTGGGCCGGGCGCAGTGGCTCACGCCTGTAATCCCAGCACTTTAGGAGTCTGAGGCGGGTGGATCACCTGAGGTCGGGAGTTCAAGACCAGCCTGGCCAACATGTAAAACACCGTCTCTACTAAAAATACAAAAAATTAGCTGGGCGTGGTGGCGGGCGCCTGTGATCCCAGCTACTCAGGAGGCTGAGGCACAAGAATCGCTTGAACCCAGGAGGTGGAGGTTGCAGTGAGCCGATATCATGCACTGCACTCCAGCCTGGGTAACAGAGTGAAACTCTGTCACCAAAAAAAAAAAAAAAAAGAAGAAAAGAGAAAGGCTGTTTGTGGCTGTTTGGTGTGATGGGAGGAGATGTGCACCTGAGCTGAGAAGGGCAGGGTAGGGATGACAGGAACCCACCTTTGCTAATATGAGTGCCATGAGCCATGAACCATTGGATGGCTTTCCAATTGTCATGACCAAGTCCTTGTTCTAGATGGCATCCTTAACTAGAAAAGAAAATAAATGGTCAGTTTATTAATTCAGATATTGTCTATAGATATATTGTCAAGGCAACCTTTTTTTTGGTAAGGTTTTCTTTTTATTAAAACCTAGAAAAGATGATATATTTGACACTCCATACATTGTATCAGAGACCTGTCATAAGTAGTCTGAAATTAAGATACAGAATGTCTCCCTAAGCAAACAAATAATGTTTTTAAGTGCCAACTGTAACTGTTCCTCTCGGCTAGAGACACATTAGAACTTTGTCACTTTTAGAAAATGTCAGGTAGCCACAGAGCTAAGGAATGCTTTGGACAACCACCTTAGCTAATGCCAGGAGTTGCACAAAAAGATTAATTTTCCAAAAGTCTTTCAACCTTTGAAGACAGTGTCCGGGTCTCCTGAATTCCAGTTAATTGTCTGTTCTCTTTGTCATAGTTGCCCCAGTCTCCACATTTATTCAGTCGTCAGTAAATATGTATTGGTTGCCTACAATTTGCTGGGTACCATGCTAGGCACTGGGCATGCAGATAAGAGTATCATACGGCCTGCAAGAGTCTAGTGGACAAGAGAGATAAAGAAACAGATTTGAAGAGGTGTGACAAATGCTATGACAAAGGAAAGCCCAGGATGCTGTGGGTACCTAGAGGAGGAACAGCTGCTCTAGATTTGAATAATATGAAAGATTTACCAGGGCACAGAGTTGCCTCAGGTAAGTCTTTAAGGTCATATAGGAGTTAGGAGAGAGAAGAAAACTATTCCTTGCAGAGACAAGATTTACAGAGGCATGGAGGGTGTGAAACAAGACAGTAACAATAAAGGGTGGAAGTAGGGGCGTGATGAGAGATAAGACAGGGAAACAGGGAGAGGCCAGATCAGGAAAGAACTTACGTATCCCGCAGAAGACCTGGACTTACTCCCAGAGACAACAGGGAGCCACTGAAGTCTTTTTAAGTTGAACATGTTAGAATCTAATTTCTCTTTGGCAGCAACACAAACATGTTGCTGAAATGATTAAAATATTTGTTTAATAAATGGATGAGCAAACGAATGAATGAACATGCTTGTTTTTTCAGTCATACCTAGACAATGATCATTTTCAGTAGCATCTTGCCTATACATGAAGGATAAATAATAAAACAGCAGTTAACGGCTACTGTCCAATTCTCATAAACCTCATTTTACCTTACAGAATAATACAATTTCTTTCTCATATACACATTATTACATGTTATTTACTGTAATACTTTCATGGATACACATTAGGTTTTTTGACACTTATTTCCAGGATTCAGTCACTTAAAGGCGGCAGTTTATGGACTGTTCTAAAAAGAAGCCTGACCAACATGGAGAAACCCCATCTCTACTAAAAATACAAAATTAGCCAGGCGTGGTGGTGCACACCTGTAATCCCAGCTACTCAGGAGGCTGAGGCAGGACAATCGCTTGAACCCAGGAGGCAGAGGTTGCAGTCAACCGAGATCGCACCATTGCACTCCAGCCTGGGCAACAAGAGCGAAACTCCATCTCAAAAAAAAAAAAAAAAAAAAAAAGAAAAAGGAAAGAAACTCCATCTCAAAAAAAAAAAAAAAAAAAAAAGGAAAGAAAGAAAAAAAATGATTCTGCTGGAAGAGATAGTTACGTAGACTAGATAGACATCAAATGTTGAGTGTTGCCTGTGTCAGGAAGGACAGGACAAAGCTCCGTTCTTCAGGGAGCTTACAATTTATAGAGTTGGGTATAAGGATAAGATGTACAGGAGACTTGTACACAATAGACTGAACACCAGGTAGAGTCAAGTAAGTAGCAATAAGCACAAATCCCTTGTTCTGAGGGTTCAAAGGTGGAACTGAACACAACTGGTTTAGAGATCTCATCAATGTAAAGGATGTATACATTCTTTTTATGTTGTTTTCTATTTAAATGGTGTTTTTTTCCTTTTTTAAATAGACATATAACAATTGTACTTATTTATGGGTACATGTGATATTTTGTTACATGCATACAACATGTAATGACCAAATCAGGGCATTTAGAATATCCACCACTTCAAACATTTATAATTTCTTTGTGTTGGGAACATTTCAAATCTTCTAGCTATTTTGAAATATACAATAAATGATTGTTAACTATAGGAATTCTGCTGTGCTATTGAAAACTAGAACATATTCCTTCTATCTATACTCACTTCCATTAACCAACCTCTTTTCCTCCTCCCCCCTTATGCTTTTCGTAGAAGATGGAATACTGTGTACATTTGGTTGTGTTTTTCAAACTGTGTCATTCGCATGGCATGTAAGAAGTGGAGGCGCCTAGACTCAGCAAAGACACGGCTCAACATTGCAGAGCTTTATTCAGGCACAACAGATAATTCATGGCCTCCCTCTGCTGCACAAAATGAGCTGCTCTGCAAAATGATTCTAAGTGTTTTGAATTAATGAAAATGCAGCACAAAGGGCGTTTGAGTCCAACAGTGCAGAGCCATAGTTCTTTTGTAAAAATTGTAGAGCCAATTTGCTCATATGCAAAGGCATGGGAATTTATCTCTGGGCTCACATTTTGACAATCACAATTTGGAGAATTATGTTTTTCTAGACTTCTAACACCTGATACTTTATGTAATCTTTAGTTCTTTTACCTATTTCCGGAAGCGTAGTTAGGTGTTTTGTTAAGTTTAGTTACTTAAAATAATTTCTTTCTCTTTGACTACTTGCCAAGTTTAAATTCACTGAATATTCACTGAGCATCTACTATGCACAAAGCAGTGACAGTATAGTGAAATTTATTATAGTCAAATTACATGGGGCACAAAGGGAGGTTAATGGTTATGCCACACCCTATAAAGGAGATTTCCATTGGCTGAAGAGTTGATATATGAACTGAGTTAAAAGGAAAAGTGAGGCTGATTCAGAATTTATACAATTAGCCATTACAACATCACTAAGATAAATCTAAAAATATACTGTTACATATACAATAAAAATATGTATTTATAAGTTATTTCCCATTGGATTCCACCTAAAGGAGGTTTCGAAACATGGCAGCCTCTTTCTTCATTATAAGGTGATTTTGCTGTAAACCAGGACAGTGGCAGATAGACATTCAAATACAAGTGTAGCCTTGAAGGAATAAACAACATGGAAAATGGGCTTATAGTTACAAGTATTTCATATACATAATTATGGCTACAATTTATCAATTGCGTCTAAAGTGTCTCTTTTCTGCTAGGCACTTATTATGTCTAATTTAATCTTCTCTACAGCTTTGTCACATAGATATCATTGCTTCCATTTTTAGAAGGAGAAAAACCAAGGCTTAAATGGAAAATAACACACTCAGGATCATTGCGAGGAGCCAGAATTTGCACGCATGTGTATAAGCCTTTCCTATTCTGTATGTGTTTAAGGAGAGAGAGAGAGATTTGTTTCATCTGAGACATTTATTATCTACTGAGGAGTCAACTTTTCTAAATGAATCTAAGTTTATATATTTGATATTTGGGAAAAGGACTTTTTTTCCATGTAAGAAGTAAACCAAGTTTCATTTCAGCCCTAACAGTGATAAAGAGTTAGCTGTATATCCAGCTGCTTGAGTGGGCCTATTACTGTCACAAAATACCTGCTCCTATTATGTAAAATCCATTACAAAGAATGTAGAAGTTACTCATGCAAGTATAAATTTACTTTTCTACCAGCAGAATTCTCTACAATCAATCATTTTAATCTATACTGTTTTTTTCTTTCTTTTTTTTCCCCCGAGACTGAGTCTCGCTCTATTGCCCAGGTTGGAATGCAATTATGTGATCTTGGCTCACTGCAACATCCACCTTTGGGGTTCAAGCTGTTTTCCTGCCTCAGCCTCCTGAGTAGCTGGGATTACAGGTGCTCGCCACCATGCCTGACTATTTTTGTATTTTTAATAGAGACAGGGTTTCACCATGTTGGCCAGGCTGGTCTCAAACTCCTGACCTCAAGTGATCCACCCACCTTGGCCTTCCAAAGTGCTGTGAGCCACCGCACCTGGCCACATTAAAGGTTTATATAGTGAAAGATAGTATAGTGAAGTGTATGTGGGAGGGGACTAGATCATATGTGAATGAATGTATGGAAAGGGGGCAGGAGTTGGTGACCCCGGACCGGCTGTGTCACAGGCTGTCCAGGTGTGGGATGGTGAGAACCTGGTGAGGAGGCTGGAGGCACAGTGGAGATGTGTCTGGAAGCACCTGTGGACGTCGGTGATGGTGCTGAGTGCCATCAGGGAAAGATGAACAACACTTGGCGGCAGTGTTTTAAAATTGAGTGACAGTGAGAAAGAAAGATGACACTGGCAGAGAATCTGCAAGGGCTCATGGCTCTGAGGACCAAGATGACGTTTGCTCTTTAGGTATCACACTGAGATCTGGCTTTGAAGTGTGTGTGTGCCAGGTGGCTCACACGGCACACTGGAGGTGAGACAGTCAGTGGGCTGTGGGTGTCAGCTTGGACATCAGAATAGAGTGGGAAACAATGGTTCCCCAAGCTCTTGGCATTCAGGTCTCACCTCCCTCCCCCAGCCACTGGCCCACTGTGTCATTTGGACACAACTTAATACCATTTCAAAATATTTGAGACTGAAATAAAAAGACCAAAAAGTGCTGTACAGATCAGAAAGCCTGAGGTTTCTTGATGGACTTAAATTTAATTCTCTGATGAGAAAAACTCTAATTTTGTATACTTAGATCTTTTTGGAACACGATATGTATTAAGTAGTTTAAAAAAGTAAGAAGTATGGTTTTGATATTTAAGTCCATCTCAAATACTTCTTTGAATAACTTTTTTCATTAGTAAGAGCTGAAAGAGGAAAATTTATGTATTAGGCTTTCAGTTCACCAAGTACTCTACCCAAATAGCTCTATTGTATGATGTCTCTCGATTAACTGTCTTTTAATGTGGATATCAAACTCCACCATTAAAATGATGTT